>NC_000009.12:61518808-61735368 GCF_000001405.40 Homo sapiens
GAATTCTTGTGGCAACACTCTATAGCCCAGGGACAGGAACGGGAAAAGTCATGGTTGTTTTGATCCAGTTTGAAAGTTGGAGTTTTATGGGTTGAAGCATGTGGAGAGTGCTGATGAACACGATCAGAACCAAAGAGAACAAATTGAAGCTTTGAGGGGGAAACTTGAAAGGGAGTGGAGGGACTGGCAGGACAAGTGAGATGAAAGTGGACACAGTTTAGAGTTTAGAATTTAGAAGGGAATTAGTTCTCAGTACTGGTACCACCTAGTGTGGAGTGGGTAAAGAGACCAGTGAGGGAAACTGAATATAATAGGGTTTCCAGTTACAATCCTGTCAGAATCAGTTTAGAAGTCACCTTCTAGACTCCAGTAGCCAAGAGACTTCACATCCGAGGCAGGAAAATCTCTGAAAGTATGAGTTCCAGTTTTCTTGTTTCTTATCACCTGCCTTTGAGTGAGTCATGTCACTCAAAGGCAGGTGATGAGGACTTGGAGACACTTGGAGTTCAATGGGCCTGACCCACTGAGTTGCAGATAAAAATTCACTTCTTTATTTAATTCTTAACCAATTAAATATGCAGTGAGTATGTAGGGTACTCAAAAATGTATTTCAACAGTCATCAGAGCTGCTATAAAGACCACTGAAATATAGGTCTTAATTATCACAGTTTGTCTAAGAAGACAAGGCTAACAGATTTGAAATATGTACAAGAGACTACATAATTACGGGTAATTGCCAATTATAAATATTGACTATGGGACAGGTGCAGTGGCTCACACCTGTAATCCCAGCACTTTGGGAGGCTGAGACGTGCAGATCACGAGGTCAGGAGATCGAGACCATGCTGGCTAACATGGTGAAACCCCGTCTCTACTAAAAATACCAAAAAAAGTTAGCCAGGCGTGGTGGCATGCACCTGTAGTCCCAGCTACTTGGGAGGCTGAGGCAGGAGAATGGCATGAACCCAGGAGGCAGAGCTTGCAGTGAGCCGAGATCACGCCACTGCACTCCAGCCTGGTGACAAAGAGAGACTCCATCTCAAAAAAATAAATAAATAAATAAATAAATAAATATTGACTATGCAAGTTATAGGAGGTTATAGGAGTTCATGTGACTAAGTAAATCAAGGGGAGGAGTGTAATCAAGGCATCTGTCCCCCTGATAGGTAGACTTTGAATGGGTAGAGGAAATAAGAATGGGCAAGCATCTAAGACAGGCCAAATGCCCCAAGGCATAAATGAACATGGTACGTTTGTGTGGAAGAAAAGGGATGGGCCAAATAGATCTGAGGTGCTGAGTTGAAGTGTGTCAAATGATGGTTCTGTAAGGTGTGATAAGGTCAGATTATAGAAGGCTGTGCTAACCTAATGGAGAGAAAAGCTCACAGATAATAAAATGAGGGAGTCACTAGGTCTAAGCGGAGATGAAGAAATACAAACTTTCACAGATTATAAGCAATAGAAGATATTCTTTAAAAAATTAAATGCATACAAATGAAAATACCTGCATAAGAAGACTAGAGCTATATAAGGAACACAACGAAGTTGGGAAATATTGCGAAGAATACTACCATCATGAAGACAACTCTCTATATTAAGTAAGTTATTTCAAAAAATAGGAGGAAATTCAAGAGCAGTAAAAAACAAAAGGAAAAAACTCTATTGTCAAGATCATATATGAGATAATGTAAATAGTTTAAAAAGTGGGAAAATTTTATCTATCTAATAACCATAGACATGCAAGTTACAGTAGTTCAAAGCACCATTTTATGTCTAATTACTAATAAAATCTCTCTGAAAAGATAAGCCTTTCCTGGCAGTCCTGTGGAGAACGGGATGCACCATGTGCTACTTCTGCTACTTGTGCACCTTGTAACTTAATGGATGCATTCAGAAAGTAACATACAGATGCTATATAATTTATAAAAATTTCATCCTCCTTTAACCAATATCTCACTACCAGGAATTTATCCTAAGACAAGTTTTTTTTTTCTTTTTTTTGAGACAGAGTCTCGCTCTGTCACCCAGGCTGGAGTGCAGTGGCGCAATCTCCACTCACCACAACCTCTGCCTCCTGGGTTCACACGGTTTTCCAGCCTTGGCCGCCTGAGTAGCTGTGATTACAGGCGCCCGCCACCACACCCGGCTAATTTTTTTGTGTTTTTAGTAGAGATGGGGTTTCACTGTGTTAGCCAGAATGTTCTCGATCGACCTCCTGACCTTGTGACCTCTGCCTCCCAAAGTGCTGGGATTACAGGCGTGAGCCACAGCGCCCGGGCATTTTCGCTGGTTCAAGTGATTCTCCTGCCTCAGCCTCCTGAGTAGCTGGGATTACAGGCACGTGCCACCATGCCTGGCTAATTTTTGTATTTTAGTAGTAACGGAGTTTCACTATGTTGGTCAGGATTTTCTCGATCTCCTGACCTCGTGATCCACCCGACTCAGCCTCCCAAAGTGCTGGGATTACAGGCGTGAGCCACCGTGCCCGCCGGCCATTTTTTTTTAATTATGTTTACAAGACGTTCAATGTTACATCGAAAAAGTGAAAACAGTCTAAATATCCAAGAGTAAGAAAATAGTTAAGAAAATTTTAACACCCAACATGAGGCGATAAGCTTCTGTTGTTATTAAATGTAATAAATATGAACATTTGTCAAACATGGACATGACATAATACATAGAAAAAGCAAGATATAAATCTATATGTTCAATATTATTGGACATGGGTAGCGTACGTCTAAACATAGAGAATCAAGCACTACAATAGGAATGGGAAATGCAAGCTTCCTTTCTTAATGTCAGATGCCTGAGAAGAGAACACCACGGGAGGATCACGGCGTCTGAAGAGATTACTCTGGCATACTACCAGGACCGTCCCTCCATTTTCTTCTCTTCTTTATTTTGGTCTGAAAAGCTCTTTTCCTACCTATTTTATTTTTCTTCTGTATAGCATCAGAAGTATCTTCTTATCTATGTTGAATTTTACATAGGATTTTATTTTAGGATGTATTTTCAATCTGTTTGTTTTCCTAGCTCAACATGTTTTGTTTGTTTTTGAAAATTCATTTTACTTATTTTTTGTAACTCTGATTTTGAGTCACTATTGAGGATGCCATAGTATTTTTTTTTTTTTTTTTTTGAGATGGAGTCTCATTCTGTCACCCAGGCTGCAGTGCAGTGGCACGATCTCAGCTCACTGCAAGCTCCACCTCCCGGGTTCACACCATTCTCCTGCCTCAGCCTCCCGAGTAGCTGGGACTACAGGCACCCACCACCACGCCTGGCTAATTTTTTGTATTTTTAGTAGAGACGGGGTTTCACCGTGTTAGCCAGGATGGTCTCGATCACCCGACCTCATGATCTGCCGGCCTCGGCCTCCCAAAGTGCTGGGATTACAGGCGTGAGCCCCCTCGCCTGGCCCATAGTATGTTTTATAAGTGTTCTGAAATCAAGTAATAAGAGTTTTTTTTAATGAAGGTGAGATAAGTTTCTGGCAAATATAGAACTTGAGAATTAATGAAGTGTATACTTCTCATTTTCTACTCTAACCTTTTGAAATTAATACAATTTTAACATGAAATATTTCCATGAAATTACAGGAGAACTTTGATGTTTGTTTCTGCATTCTGGGCTCCCAGAAACATGGTGTAGTGTGGTCTGACATGCATATCTTTGGAAATTTATAATAGGTTTCATTGTCTGATCTTAACCAAAACCCAGTCCTTAATAAAATAGCCCAGTATATATATGGTTGTTTTCCTCTACTAAATGAATTACAATTCTTTGCTACCTACCAGCACAGGGCAAATTAAAGAGAAAACTTTTCTTTCCTTATAGTGCATGAATCCTACCAGTGTGGAAGAGTGAAAAGAACCCAAGCTTCGGAGTTTTACAGCCACAGGATCAGATTTTAGTCTATTCCACTACCCAAAACTAGGCAAGTTTTCTGGGGTCATCTAGCCTCTATGACCTCATCGGTAACAACAGGCTTCACTGTGGCTTAAGTGAGATAATGAGTAGAAATGGAATGGTTTGGGCCAGGCACAGTGTTTCACACCTGTAATCCCAGCACTTTGGGAGGCTGAGGTGGGCAGATCACCTGAGGTCGAGAGTTCGAGACCAGCCTGACCAACATGGAGAAACCCCATCTCTACTAAAAACAGAAAATTAGCCGGGCATGGTGGCATATGCCTGTAATCCCAGCTACTCAGGAGGCTGAGGCAGGAGAATCGTTTGAACCCAGGAGATGGAGGTTGTGGTGAGCTGAGATCGTGCCATTCCACTCCAGCCTGTGCAAGAGGAGCAAAACTCCATCAAGAAAGAAAGGAAGGAAGGAAGGAAGGAAGGAAGGAAGGAAGGAAGGAAGGAAGGAAGGAAGGAGAAGGAGGGAGGGAGAGAGGGAGGGAGAGAGGGAGAGAGGGAGGAAGGAAGGAAGGAAGGAAAGAAGGAAGGAAGGAAGGAAGAAAAAAAAAAAAGAAATGGAATAGTCTGGTAGGGTGATTCCCAAACTGCTGCACATTAGAATGAAGTGGGAAGCTTTTAGAAACCCAGCGTCCACGTTGCATGCAACATCCATGAAGTCAAAATATTAGGCATGGGAACCAGGCATCAACAGTTTTTAAAGATCCAAGATGATTCCATTGTGCAGCAAAATTTGGAAACCAGTGCCTAGCACAAAGCAGGTATTCAGCAAAAGTCAACTTTCTTTATCTTTCAATGTGTGGTTATTTGCCAGCTTTCGAGTAGCACTTCCTTATCTTCATTCCTTAAAACTCTGCAGCAGAGTGGCACTGCATAGGTAAATGCTACACTGACATCTTGCTGCATGCCGCACTTTACTGCAGTGGAAAATAATGAGGAGCTAGCCGATACCCATTATTAAAGTGTCACACAAGTGTTTCATCCCATCCAGTCACATTTTTCAGAGGCTTCCAATTCACACTTTCGTAAACGCGGCCGTTTCCTCTTCCTGTGACTTAGATAAGATGGAAACAGACATGCTCTCAAGTATCATATTAGCTTTTTTTCAGAACTTCTTTAGTTTTCTAGTGAGGCATCTGTGCCTCCTAGAAATGCACTTTAGACCCTGCTATACAGAAAAATCAATTTTCTTACAACTGGTCTGAAGCATACATATTATTCTTTTAGATCTGATGTATCAAATGCCCACGGCCCTAGGTATGCCTGTGTTTCTTTAATCTATAATGATCATTTTATACAATGTGCTGGCACCTTGCCCAGCACACTCCTTTACCTATAGCAGGTTTAGCAGGCTGGGTAATTGCCCCTTTTAAAGTTGTCTGCACTCAACACTGCCCTGTCTGGTAAATGCAATTAGAAGCCAATCCTTGGGTGTATCAGCCCAGACTTTTATTAAGCTCATATGGCATTCTCATTGCCACTATTTCTCACCAGGTTGCTCATTAGCCAAGGGCAGCCAAAGGACTGGATCATATCAGACAGTGACTTTCCAACCCATGAGACTCCCTTGTTCACCTTAAATACAAACCACATAGAGAAGAAACTGGGGATTTGTATGCCTGAAAGCTGACAGTGGCCATAACAAAAGCAATAAACAGAAATCCTAGAGATAGTGATGACAGAAGAAATGTGTGTTTGCCAAGGAGTTAGAGGGAGCACTTTGTGTTGGCACTGAAAGCAGCCAGAAGAAGACTCAGAGTGAGACAGAAGTTGACTCATGCAACAAACCTTCACCACTGACAAGTCAAAGAAAATGACTGAGGAGCGTCTCAATCATGTTAGAGGTTTATTTTGACAAGGTTAAGCACGCACCCGGGAAAAAGGAACACAAAACAACAAGAACAATCTGTGATCCATGCTTTTTCCAAAGAGGGCCTGGTAATTTTAGTATTTAATGGGAAAGAGCAGGCAGTAGGAGAAAGAGGAAGAAAAGAAAAAAGGGGAGGGTAGATAAAAGGGGCAGGCAGTTGCATTCTGTTGAGTCTTTGATCAGTGTGCACTGAATCCACATTTCACATGTCAAAGGAAGGGGTAGAGAAATAGTCAATTATGCATTCATCTCACACTCAGTGAATCTGCATTTTTACATAAGATAAAATAAACATAAAGTAGAGGAAGTAATCAGATATGCATTTGTGAACCCAGAAAATCTGAGACAGGTCTCAGTTAATTTAGAAAGTTTATTTTGCCAAGGTTGAGGACGCATCCATGACACAGCCTCAGGAGGTCCTGATAGCATGTGCCCAAGGCAGTTGGGGCACAGCTTGATTTTTACATTTAGGGAGACATGAGACTTCAATCAATAGATATAAGAAGTACATTGGTTGGGTCTGGAAAGTCAGAACAACTGGAAGCAAAGGCAGGAAGACTCAAAGCTGGGAGGGAGCTCCCAGGTCACAGATAGGTGAGACACAAACAGTTACATTCTTTTCAGTTTCTGATTAGCCTTTCCAAAGGAAGTAACCAGATATGACTCCTTTGGTGCAGGGCGGCGGGTGGGGGGTGCTTTTAGTTCTATCCTTTGTCCTTTGTTCCAGGATCTGTGAAGATAGCTGTTCCCTTGCATTTTCTGGGTGAAATTCAGAACTGTTTTAGGGTAAAGATCTTGGGACCTACGAAGAATTTCGTTTTAAGCAAATTGTGAGAGAGGCATGTATCCTTTTAGATCTGTAGCTGTCTTATTTAGGAACAAAATGGGAGGCTGATTGGCATGACCCAGTTCTCAGCTTGACTGTTCCCTTCAGCTTAGTGAGTTTGGGGTCCAGAGATTTTATGTTCCTTTTACAGCACCCAGGAGGAACTGAGCATAAGCCTATTTCTCACAGCTTTGAGGAGCACTAACTGAAGTGCTCAGTTAGCAGCATTTGAATTAATTATTTCACAGCTCATCCTTAACCAAATTATTTTTAATATGATTCTAAAACTGGGGTTTTACCTTAAGTTTAGTATTTTGAGGTAATCTTAGCATCAGGTGGACCTTAGCTCACTAAGAGCATGAGAGCTCTTAGTTACCTCACTCATCAGCGGCTTGGCTCCTCTTTCGGAAGGCATAAAGAACCTCATCCATCAGTGCCCACATACTCCTGTAAGCGCAGGCCCCTGTTCTTTGCTTCTGGGAAGCATCCATCTGGTCCTGTATTGCTTTCGTTCCTCTTCTGTCTGTTTTCCTATGCAAACCAATCTATCATTCTATTTTGTTGCCCCATTTCCAAGTCACTTGACCAGATAGATAACCACATAAAAATGGCTAAGTAATTTAAGCTTAAAAATTAGGAGCAGGAAATAGTGTAAACTGGAATAGTAAGAAAATGCTGAAGGTGAGACTTGTGGAGGGCTGGCATTGTGGACGTCTTTAAGATATAAGACTTTATTATAACAGTCAAAGCAAAGGGGACATGTAATTAATACAAGACTTTTTATCAAAGAGGAAAAGCTGTCATTTTCTCAGGAATCTAATACTATTCTAAGACTTAGGTTTAAAATGTATCAGGAGTGCCTTCTAAGTGACTGTGGAAGGAGGGAAATAGTAACCATATATTTTGGATGAGTGATTGTATATCGTGGCTTCTATTTTATGCCTACTCTTCTCCCCTTGTCTCTTGTAAACTCACTTACAACCAGATCATAATAATAAAACTAGAACGCAGAGTGGCCACACAGTACAGTGACTAAGCACGCCAGCTCTGAAGCCAGACCTTTTGGTTGGGATCTCAATACTGTTAATTTCCTCATTTGAAAGACCAGGGTAATATAATCCTTCAAGAGAGGGTTGTTATTAGGGTGGACCTGATAAATAGGGTGGACCATATAATTTATCATGCAGATGGATGCTTTAGAAAGTGCGATGATGTTTACTTGTCAAATTATTATCATGCTATTTTGACTATATTTTCTTATATGCTTTACTTGAAATATTTAAATTAGCCCATATGTAACTAGAGTCTAAAATCCATAGTTCAGGGAAATTGTGGTTGTATTTTGTCCCTTTAAAAAACACAGGGGCATTGGTGCCTAAATCATTGACCCCTGCAAAATGCAACAGGTTGCGTGGAAGTGAAACATAATGCCTCCAACCTGCTAGTTATTTACACATGTTGACCTAAGGAACACACAAGCCAGATATTCTTTAGGTTGTCTCTTTTTATTGTAAGACCACTGAATGGCAAAGTACTTGGTCTGCATTAGATTTATTTACTGTTAAAAGATTTTCAAGAAACTACAATTTAATAACATGTCCTTGAATTTTTTTCACGAGTTGAAATAATAAATATACAGTATCTATTCATCTATCCTGGAAAGCCCCTGATAAAAGCACTGCGTTTTCTTAATCAGTTTCCTTTTCTATAGAATAAATTTCTGTTATGCTTCTTAATCAGCAAAATGACAACCAAATTAAGAAATAACCTCAAACTTAACAAAACAGAACAAAGTCTTCCCTGAAGGTCTTGGAGAACCACGTAAGATCAGATCACAACCCAAGGTCTGCCCTGAGAAATGGGGAAAGCCAGGGACCTGCCACACCTTCTTTCCTCTTGTCTAACTGGAGATGAGAAACTAACTTAATTTTCATGATCTTACTATGTTAGCCTCATACGTAATCATCTTCTCTTTTGTCTAAATGGTTCCCTATTTTCACCTTATACTTAACTATCATATATAGGGCATATGAATACATTTATCTCAGATCCCATTCAGAAGTTGTAAAGGAATACATTATTAATAAATCAAATATTTCTACATTACATGGAAGAAAGTGTGGAACAGTTAAGAGGATGGTTACTGGTCCCAAAGAGTCCAGAGTTTAAACCCTTACTCTATATTATCTACATGATCTGCGCATGTAGCTTATTTTTAATGAGTTTTAGTTTCCTCATTTGCAAACAGCGTGACACTTGTCCCAAAGGATTGAACTGAGGATTTAGTAAGATAACAGGTGTAGAGGGTGTCTTCACAGTGCTGGGCTCGTGTCAGGCCCTCGATAAATATTAATTCAATTCCCCTTCTCCTGCCCTACTACCATCCTGCGGCTCAGAGCAGCCAAAAGCTGGAAAAATAGGCTCCACCCAGAAACTATAACAAGATAACGATAAAGCACAGTTGGATGGATCAGGGGTAATCTACTGAGTTATCCCTGTTTTAAACCATTGTGTTTGCTTCTGTGCATAGGAGAATCTCCCCATGCTGAAGGGCAAGTGGAACATTTGCACAGTTGCCCTTGGGAACATGAACAACAATAGTTTCCTTAGCCAAGCCTAGGGCAGTGTGGAGATGAGGGGCACATGGGACGCAGGTCCCTCTGCTACAAGCCTGACTGCCATCGGAAGCTGGGAGACACCAAAGGGTGGCCCCAGGGGCTCTCTGTCATCTTATGGTGACTCAAAAAATGCACATTCCTGCATTGATAACAATGGGTATTTTTATTACATGAAAATCTATGTACTTACTATTTGTGTTCTTCCCAACATTCAACTGACTTTTCTACCTGATGCAAAATGCAGGAGGGCTGTTCACGACTTCTTCCTCTCTTCCTCTTCTCCTCCTATTCTTCCTCTTTCTTCTCCTTCCTTCCTCCTTCCCCTCCTACTGATGTTTTTATTTCTATCAACAAAAATGAGAAAAATCGCTTTCAGTTACAAAGTAAGTCTGAAACTATATCAAAATAATTTAGATCTTTAGTAGATTGAGAAAAAACACACAAACTTTTTCAACTTGCAGGAATAAAAATGTCAAGATTATTAACTCTGTTCTTTATTTTTAGTGAACTATAAAAAGGTTTATTGATAATTTCTGTTGAGCAAGATGACTTCAGAGTTTATATCATCTAGGCCTTAAGATTTACTAGAATTTTAATGTATCATTCTAAAGATGTGCTCACAGAATACCCCTCAGTGTTGCTTGACCGATAAGGGTACACGCTACAAACACGTGGAGAAAAACGTGCAGAGCTGTTCGTGCCAGAAATTAGTGGCCATTTAAATTCCTCACTTACCAACAAATTAATAGATTCCTTCATCTTAAAGAGTGCAAGTGTATTTTAGGTCCATGCCATAAATATTTAAAACTATCTCATCTTAGTGAAAATTTATATAACACATGACCTTTGCAAAATTGCAACCTTTATTCTTCAAGCAAAAATTGGTTTCTGCTGGTCACCACAATGTGCTTCTTTTGGACACCATGTATAACTGAGATTGAATTGTAACTGTTAGCAGTGGAGAAAGCCTGCGGAAAATCAACTCAATTGAATTTTGTGTTCACAGATGCTTTGAGTTTTACAGAGTCTTATATTCCATTTTCAAGTGCATCATTCAGGACACAGGCCCATTTTCCATATCCTAGATCACCCAACCAGTCCAGGGCTATTTCAGAAACTTTCCTGAGCATATAATATAGACCAACGCTAGGTTGTAAACTAAGTATAAAATTCTAAGCCCCCCAACCAACTGAACAGAAACTTCTTGGCCAAGAGGACCCCAGAGAAAACTGAAAAGCTGTTTCTGGCCCTGAAAGAAAGGGAGGTCAGACACACCTCATCATACCTCCTCTGTTTTGGAGTTTGGACTCAACAAGTAACCAGCAGCGGTGTTAAAATAGAGATCCTAAGACTGACAGAACAGACCCTGTGTGGCCATAAGATAACAAATTATGAACAAGCCCTAAGGCCATGCAAAGCAGGTGTAAGTCAGGCCTGCAGGCCATCAGGCTTGCTAACCAGGGCATTTTATTGTGGCTGACTCTGACAGAGCATTCTTACCTTCCTTTCTGTCAACTCTAAGCAGTAGACAGGGCCTTACTCCTTTAACCAATCACAAACCAGAGAATCCCCAAGTCCACCTACAACCTATAAGACCTCTCCTGAAGATAATCCCCCTTTTTGAACCGAACCAGTGTATACCTTCCATGTGTTGATGTCTTTGCCTGTAACTCCTGCCTCCCTGAAATGTATAAAACCAAACCAACCCGGCCACCTCGGAACCACTTACTCAAGCCTTCTTGGTTGCGTGTTTTCTCCAGGCCTCAGTCACTCATATTGGTTCAGAATAAACCTCTTTAAAATATATTACAGTTTGTTTTATCCATTAACAAAGTCAAGCAATTAGTTCTTAGATCTGCAAATATAACTATTACTGCACTAAAATAGATTAATGAAAGAGGATATACTAGATAAAGGAAGATGAATAGCACAAAATGTGGCACATTTGTGGAACACAGAAAAGGGATTCTATGAGTTAGCCAGTTAAAATAACTAAGGCCATGGCCATTTCACATCCCAGGTCCAGAATTTGAAAGATCAAAGTATCTCCATAAAAAAATATATATTTTCCCCTTCATGCTTGAAAATGCAATAGGCAATGTTATAGTAAAGTCAGGAAACATGAGTCTGTCTTATTTCGTTTCGGACCCTGAGTTGGCTGTTTCACATCTTTCAACCAATTCACAGGTGTGACTTTAACTATCACTCATACCCTGTACTTTTTTTTTTTTTTTTGAGATGGAGTCTTCCTTTGTTGCCAGGCTGGAGTGCAGTGGCGATCTTGACTCACTGCAACCTCCAACTCCCAGATTCCAGCGATTCTCCTGCCTCAGCCTCGCAAGTAGCTGGGATTACAGGTGCATGCCACCATGCCCAGCTAATTTTTGTATTTTTAATAGAGACAGGCTTTCAGCATATTGGCCAGGATGGTCTCGATCTCCTGACCTCGTGATCTGCCCACCTCAGCCTCCCAAAGTGCTGGAAATAAAGGAATGAGCCACTGCAACTGGCTGCCCTATTTACTTTTAAATATATATTTCCAGTCCAGACTTTTCTTCCACGCCCATACTTGAATATTCATGCATCTTCTGAATTGTTTCCACTTGGATTTTTCTCAGACACCTAAAATTCAGCCTGTCATCAATTCTATCCATCATTCTTCCAAATCCTCTTCCTGCCCCTGAGCTCCGCCTCCAAATGCCTAGCAGCATCATTCCCTCCTGACACTTCCTTCTTACCACCCCCCCACCTATGCCCTCCTGCCACAATTAAGCCTCTTACACCAGATGAGCTCTTTTCCTTTAGTGACACCACTGGCTTCTAGGGTCTGGTCAGCTGTCCGGCAGGATGCAGCATAACCCGGACTGGCCCAGCATGAAATTCGGGTGTGGTGTTTTGTGCAGCAACACTCACAGGAGACGCTGTCCTCTGCCCGTCACAGCAGGGTACATGTCAGCTGTCCCTCCCAGGTGATGCTACATCCAGTCATGGGGGAAGAACTGTCGCCAGCTGCTCCTGCGTAAGTCCCCCTCCCCTTTGTAACTGGTGGTCCTAGGAGCGTGAATATCCTGTTCCCCAACAGCCCTTAACTCAATGGCTTTGGCACCCGAGTTAGTTGCCTGTGGCTGCTGTAACAGATTACCACAAACAACACAGGTGTATTCTCTCCCAGCTCTGTAGACCGGAAGTCCAAAATGGGTCACACCGGGCCGAGATCGGTGTCGGCAGGGCTGCATTCCTTCTACCAGTGTTCCTGGGTACATGTGTGGCCCTTTCCTCCGTTTCCAAACCCCATCCCTCCAAGCTCCGCGTCCATCACTGCATCCCCTCCTCAGGCTCTGACCCTCCTGCCTCCCTCTTAAAAGGACCCTGAAGATCACCAGGGCCCACCTGGATAATCCAGGGTGGCCTCCCCATCTCCAGGTCCCTCACTTAGCCACATTTGCAAAGCCCCTCTTGCCATGCAAGGGGACCTGTGATTACAGGTTCTGGGGCTTAGGACAGGCACTTGCCTTGGGGATGCTATTCAGCCGACTTCAACATCCGCTGCTGATCTTCACCTGAATGTGTTCATTCCAGGGGGAGTGCACAAATGGGGACTTTCAAACCCATCGCCTCTCCCATGTTGGCTGGATTGTTCTAGGAGGAAGTGCTCCCTCCTTCTAGGGCCGCCATGGACTATACTGTTCATCCAATGCTCTTCATCCTGTCTCAAATTTGGCCTCCAGAGCCCCTTCCACCTGGCCTTTTTGGCCTGTTGAGGCATCCCCGTCTGTCCTCAAGTGCATCCGCTCTCCTGGCGCGACGCGATCCATACTCTAGCTCATCCTGTGCCCACCTCCACCCAGATCTGGACTTAGGCCCCATCGTGCCGCACAACTTCGGAAACCACCCATGTGCCTGTGTGCTTGGGTAGCACCAATGTTAGCTCCTTTCAGTGGTTAGAGACAGAAAATGGATTTTTTTTGAATTATGAGTTATTGCTGCCGCTTCCGGTCCAAGCACAAGCCCCCAGGAACCCTCTTTGTTTCCCGTTCCACATCCCTATCTCCCGCCTCCCAGCGAGAGAAAGAGTCCTGGTTCCAAGGAGGACCACCAAGCTGCTGGGGGTGACCAGCCCTTAATCCACAGACAGTGGTTTCAGACGACCACAGCAGCGCTGCTGCTGCGACAAAACCGGCCTGCGACGCGGAGCTGCGGGTCCCCACAGCCAGAGGCCCCTTCGAAAGCCACTTCCATTCTTGTTTCCATCTGGTGTTGCTGTCAATTGTTTTAGGTTCATTGATTCCTGTTTGAATTCAATGTTCAATTTTTTTGTGCTTGTCAATTTAATTCTATTTCTGAACGTGTAAACATTTACGTGTTTCAAAAGTCAACACATATGTAAAGGATTCTCTGACTTCTCACTCCACCCAGTCCTCCCACCTGGTGGTTATTTATGTGTGTGTGTAGTTTCTGTATGTAGTTTACATGTGTGTGTAGCTCATGTGTATGGTTTATATTGTGTGTACAGTTTGTGTGTGTGGTTTATGTGCATGTGTATACTTTGCATATGTAGTTTATATGTGTGTAGTCTGTGTGTTTAGTTTATGTGTGTATAGTTTGCATGTGTAGTTTATATGTGTGTAGTTTATGTGTGTATACTTTGTGTGTGTGGTTTATATGTGTGTGTGTAGTTTGTGTGTGTATGATTTATATGAATGGGTAGTTTGTGTGTGAAGTTTATGTGAGTATAGTTTGTGTGTGTGGTTTATATGGGTGTGTATAGTTTGCATAGTTTGTATGTGTGTGTATAGTTTCTGTGTGCAGTTTATGTGTGTGTGGTTTGTGTGTGTGGTTTATATATGTGTGTAGTTTGTGTGTGTATCGTTTATATGAATGTGTAGTTTCTGAAGTTTATGTATGTGTAGTTTGTGTGTGTAGTTTATATGTGTGTGTAGAGTTTGTGTGTGTAGTTTGTGTGTGGTTTATATGTGTGTGTAGAGTTTGTGTGTGTAGTTTGTGTGTGATTTATGTGTGTGTAGTTTATGTATGTGTAGTTTGTGTGTGTGGTTTATATGTGTGTGTATAGTTTCTGTGTGTAGTTTATGTATGTGTAGTTTGTGTGTGTGGTTTATATGTGTATCATTTCTGTGTGTAGTTTACATGTGTGTACTTTGTGTGTGGGGTTTATATGTGTGTGTATAGTTTGCATGTGTAGTTTATGTGTGTGTACTTTGTGTGTGTGATTTATATGTGTGTGTATAGTTTGTGTGTGCAGTTTACATGTGTGTACTTTGTGTGTGTGGTTTATATGTGTGTATAGTTTGTGTGTGTAGTTTATGAAAGTGTACTTTGTGTGTGTGGTTTACATGTGCATGTAGTTTGTGTGTGTAGTTTATGTGTTTGTGTATAGTTTGTGTATGTGGTTTATATGTGTGTGTGTGGTTCGTGTGTACTTTATGTGTGTGTACTTTGTGTGTGTGGTTTATTTGTGTGTGTATAGTTTCTGTGTGCAGTTTACATGTGTATACTTTGTGTGTGATTTATATGTGTGTGTATAGTTTGTGTGTGCAGTTTACATGTGTGTACTTTGTGTGTGTGGTTTATATGTGTGTATAGTTTTTGTGTGTAGTTTATGAATGTGTACTTTGCGTGGTTTATATGTGCATGTAGTTTGTGTGTGTAGTTTATGTGTTTGTGTATAATTTGTGTATGTGGTTTTTATGTGTGTGTGGTTTGTGTGTAGTTTATGTGTGTATAGTTTGTGTGTGCAGTTTACATGTGTGTACTTTGCGTGTGTGGTTTATATGTGTATGTAGTTTGTGTGTGTAGTTTATGTGTTTGTGTATAGTTTGTGTATGTGGTTTATATCTGTGTGTAGTTTGTGTGTGTATTTTATGTATGTGTGTAGTTCACAGGTGTAGGTGTAGTATGTGCTGTGTGTGTGCATGTGGGTGATTTGTGTGTGTATAGTGTGTAGTTTATATGTGCATGTATAGTGCATGTATGATTTGTGTGTATAGGTTGTGTGTGTAGTTTATGAGTGTGTAATTTACATATGCATGTGTAGTGTGTCTGCCTGTGTGATTTCTGTGTGTAGTTTATATATGCCTGTGTAGTGAAGGAATGTGTGATTTTTGTGTGTATAGTTGACGTGTGTGGTGTGTGTGCATGTATATGATTTGTGTGTGTGTGGTTTACATGTGCGTGTATGGTGTGTGCCGTGATTTGTGTGTGTGTGGATTATGTGTGTGTATGATGTGTGTGATATGTGTGTGTGTGGTTTATGTGTGTATGTGGTGTGTGTGATTTGTGTGTGTCGTCTCCATGTGCATGTGTGGTGTGTCTGATGTGTGTGGTTTGTGTGTGCGGTTTAAGTGTGTGTGTAGTGTGTGTGATTTGTATGTGGTTTACATGTGCGTGTATGGTGCATGTGGTGTGTGATTGTGTGTGGTTTACATGTGCATGTGTGGTGTATCTGATGTGTGTGATTTGTGTGTGTGGTTTACATGTGCGTGTGTGGTGTGTCTGATGTGTGTGATTTGTGTGTGTGGTTTGCATGTGCATGTGTGGTGTGTGTGTGTGTCCCCTTACATCCCCTTCTCACCCACCTGCAGACGCCCTCGGCGCTGCACCTGCCACAATGAGCAGCCTGTCTGTCCTCCCGTGCTCCGACACCCTGAGTTCTCCCCAGTCCCCCCAGGCCCCCTAGGCTCCCCAGGTTCCCCACGGCCACATGATGCCCCGCGCTGTGGCTGTTCCCATTTGCACAGCCCTGCCTGGTGAATGAGCACTCAGGTCGTTCCCAGTGTCTCGCTGTGACAAATGAGGCTGTGCTGCATCCCTCAAGCATGCACTGTTCCCTATTTGCAGAGGTGTCACCTCGGGGGAAATTCCTAGAAATGGAATCGCTGGGTCAAGGGGCAAAGCCAGTGTAATTTTGTTAGCTACTGCCACCTTCCGCTCCCTCGGGTGAAGGACAGTTTCCCTCCTAGTGTCTGAGGGAGCCAGTTTCCCATGGCCTCCTCCACCGCAGTCACGCTTTTGAATCGCTGCCAGTCTGATATGTGAGAAACTGCATCTCTGTGTAGCTTGTATTTGCATTTCTTTACTACGAGCCTCTTTCCCTATACTTCAGAGCCATTTGTAATCTTGTTCTACACACTCTGTCCATGGATTTTACCTACTTCTCTGTAGAGTTTCCGGGGTTTTCCCATTGGCTTGAGTGAGCCACGCACACAGGGAGCCAGAGGCAAAGGGGACGTGAGACCTGCCCACGGGAGGATCAAGGAGGCCCCACAGACGGCCTGGGGAAGCCCACCCAGCTGGGAGACAGTGGGCGCGTCGCCTTGGCTCTGGAAGCAGTGGGAAAAGCAGAAAAAGGTCACCCCAGGAAATTCCAGTCACAAGCCCACCTCAGGGGCAGTGTGGCCAGAACTCACGCTCACTGGATGACTGGAAAAACCCTAGGCCAAAAATTTAGTTTGAGGGAGTCCTGGCAACCCAAGCTTCTGGGAGAAGCAAAGGCAAAACCTTTCCAGAGAAAGGCGTTGGAAACTTGGACCTCAGAGAATCCTCGCAGACGGGGGTCCGGGGAACGCAGCCTTGCCACCTTACAAGTTACCCACACGCAGGAGAAAATCTGCCCTCCCCAGGACAGGAGCCCTCCGCAACGGCGTCTGGGAAACGTCAGGTCCACTCTGCCAGCCACAAGGCCCCTGGAAGCAGCGTGGCCTGGGTGCAAAGCAGCCGACACCTCACCCGCGCCCCTGGGCCTCCTGAGGAAAGAAAGCCCCAGGTCCCCAGAGTGCCTGTGCGGCCCCTCATCTCCCTGCATGACAGCCCCTTTGGCTGTGACCTGGGGGAAAGAAATTGAATCCCATCATTTGGGACTTTCACTTAAAACTCAAAGTTCTGAGCTTTGTCTTTTAAATGGTGAGGGCAAGAAAATGCATTTTCACTTTAAAGTCTAGCAACTGTAATTGGCAAGGGCGTTTGACCTACAGACTTCTTCCATCAAGTAATACAGGAATGGAAGGGCCCCCCACGTTTGGGCCACTGTGTGTCACAGTCTTGCTGTCACCACGGCAGTGCTGCAATGTCGTGTGACTGTGCAGTGGACACCGCTTGGGGCCGTCATGTGTCACAGTCTTGCCGTCACCACGGCGGAGCTGCAATGCCACGTGACTGTGCAGTGGACACCGCGTGGGGCCGCTGTGTGTCACAGTCTTGCCGTCACCACGGCGGAGCTGCAATGCCACGTGACTGTGCAGTGGACACCGCGTGGGGCCGCCGTGTGTCACAGTCTTGCCAACGCCACGGCACAGCTGCAATGTCACGTGACCATGCAGCTGGACAGCGCATGACCGTGCAGCTGGATACCACGTGGACGGCGGGTGGGAGGCATGAGTTCCAGCTTTGGCACAAAGGAGCTTTGCGTCAGTTTCATTAATCCTGGTGTAACCGCCCAGTGTGTTCACCTCGCCGGCTGCCTAGACACAGCCGATTTATCAAGACAGGGGAATTGCAAAGGAGAAGGAGTAACTCACGCAGAGCCAGCTGTGCAGGAGAACAGAGTTTTATTATTACTCAAAAGGGTCTCCCCGAGCATTTGGGGATCAGAGTTTTTAAAGATAATTTGGCAGGTAGGGGCTCAGAAAGTGGGGAATGCTGGTTGGTCCGTTTGGAGATGGATTCATAGGGGGTCAAAGTGAGTTTTTCTTGCTGTCTTCTGTTCCTGGGTGGGATGGCGGAACTGGTTGAGCCAGATGACTGGTCTAGGTGGTGTCAGCTGATCCATGAGTGTGGGGTCTGCAGAATATCCCCAGCACTGATCTCAGGTTTTACAATAGTGAGGTGATCCCCAGAAGCAATCTGGGGAGGTTCAGACTCTCACAGCCGGAGGCCACAAGACCCCTAAACCATAATTTCTAATCTTGCAGCTAATTTGTTAGTCCTACAAAGGCAGACTGGTCCTCAGGCAAGAAGGGGGTCTATTCGGGAAAGGGCTGTTACCAATTTTGTTTCAGAGTCAAACCATGAACTGAATTCCTTCCCAAAGTTAGTTCGGCCTACGCCCAGGATTGAATAAGGACAGCTTAAAGGTTAGAAGGAATATGGAGTCGGTTAGGTCTGATTTCTTTCACTGTCATCATTTCCTCAGTTATAATTTTTGCAAAGGCAGTTTCATGGGGGGTAAACCCAAACGGCCCCCTGCAGTCCTGGGAGTGGCTTCATGAAGGGGACCACGACAGTTCTCCTCTCCCTAGGGGCGGCCCCCCAGCTCACCACAAGTGTGACCACGAGGCCCTTGGGTAGGGCAACAAAAGGCCGGGGAAGGTGGGGGTGTCCTCCCCAACTCCCAAGCCTCCTTCCACGTGGAGAAAACTGACTTCTCCGACCCCTGCCTCTCTCCCACCATTTGTCACCCACCCCCACGCAGGGAGGGGTTGGCAAATCCAGGCGGGGTCTGCAGGGCAGGCTGAGCTCACTCTCCGCTGCCACCTGCAGGGGTGGCCTGCTCTGCTGAACAGGTGGGGGCTCCCTGGAGGCTGGCCTGGGCTGTTCCTTTGGGCAGGTGACCCCTCCACTCTGGGGTTCAGGGAAGGCCCCCTTGGCCTTCACTCTGAGCCGTGTCCTCCGACCAGCCTCCATTGGGAATAACGGGCAGCCTGGCATTACAGCCTCTGTGGGCCCCTCCTCTGGGCTAAAGTATTACAAATGATGTTTCATAACTGCGTTGGTAGAAAGATGACTATAGCCCAGGCTGCACTGTGTTTATTCTGATTTTAGAAGGCATTAAACCAGTTTCCTGATGCCTAAAAGTCTCCTGGGCCCTGGCACTAAGCCTGCTACACCCTGTGAAAGGAAAATCCATCTCAGTCCCCAAAATTACCAAGCCAAGGGAAGAGTCAAGCTGGGTACTGCTCAGGCAAACCTGCCTCCCAGTCCACTCCTGAATAAGATGGCTACAGAGACTAAAAAGCCACTACCTCCCTCAAAATTTGCCCACAAGGAAATTCCTCATAGACAAATGACAGACAGGACCCAACACCATCCCTCTGCTCCCCTGAGACAAATCCATATCTGATGGCTTCCTCTGCCCTATTGTTGATATAAAAATACAGATTCCCTGAGCCAGACTAAATTGTGTTTCAGTGGGAGGCCGATCACGGTCTCAAAAGAATGCAAGTTTGTCTCTTACCTACTTATGACCTGGAAGTCCCCCACCCCCGCAAGTTGTCAAGCTGCCCCGCCTTACCTGACCCAACAAACGTACATCTTACACATATTGATTGATGTCTCATGTCCCCCTAAAATGTATAAAAGAAAGCATGGTGGCTCATGCCTGTAATCCCAGCACTTTGGGAGACCGAGGTGGGTGGATGACGAGGTCAGGAGCTCGAGACCAGCCTGGCCAAGATGGTGAAACCCCGTCTCTACTAAAAATACAAAAACTTACCCATGCATGGTACCATGCGCCTATAATCCCAGGTACTGGGGAGGCTGGGGCAGAGAATTGCTTGAACCCGGGAGACGGAGGTTGCAGTGAGCCGAGATCGCACCACTGCACTCCAGCCTGAGCAACAGAGTGAGACTCTATCTCAATAAAATAAAATAAAATAAAAATAAAAGCAAACTGTACCCTGACCACCTTGGGCACATGTCGTCAAAACCTCCTGAGGCTGTGTCACAGGCCCTTACTTCACCTTGGCAAAATAAGTGTTTTAAATTTATTGAGACCTGTCTCAGATACCCTTTGGTTTACAACCTGATGGAGGGGTTGGCATTGATAGAAGGGTTTTGGGTTTCCAGCACCTGCCTTCATGCCTTACTTCTCGGTGGGCTCAGGACTCAGAATGGAAAAGAGTCCCAGGAGACCCCAGTAACTCTTCAACTCTTTTACTCTCACTGTTTTCTCTCCTTTACAGCAGACACCACTATCTGCAAAGGGTCCTGTTCGCTGCTCCTGCCTGCCAGTAAGCACAGCCTAGATGGCAGTGTCCATGACTGTCCTGAGTAACCACTGGGTCCCCAGCATCTCAGCTTCACAGCTGTTCTGTAAAGACCTTCAGACGGAGGGATGAGGCAGGTGGGTGGGTGGATGGATGGATGGATGCATGGATGTGTGGGTGGGTGGATTGATGGATGGATGCATGGATGGGTGGATGGGTGGATAGGTGAGTGGGTGGGTGGATGGATGAGTGGGTGCTTGGGCAGGTATGTGGATAGATGGAAGTATGGGTAGATGGATGGGTGGATGGATGGGTCAATAGGTGGATGGGTGGGTGGGTGAATGGATGGATGGATGGATGGATGAGTGGATGGATGCATGAATGGATGGATGGATGGTGGATGGATGGGTGAGTAGGTGGATGGAGAGATGGGGGAATGGATGGATAGATGAACAAATAAGTGATGGATGGGTGGGTGTATGTATGGATGGGTGGGTGGATGGGTGGGTGGGTGGATAGATGGATATGTAGATGGGTGGATGGATAAGTGGATGGATGGGTGAATGGGTGGATAAGTAGATGAATGGGTGGGTGGAGAAATACATGAGTATGTGGATGAATAGGTTACAGAGTAAAATGCCACCACCAGAGCAGTGCAACAGTGTGCTTTGCACTCAGCTCTGCCATGGAAAAAGTGGTTCCTTCCCAGGCTCTCACCAGGCTCACATGGGCTCCAGACCCCTGCACCCCCAACCAGACTGGGGACACAGGGACCATCTGCTCAGCTCTGCATCCATGCACCTGGTCAACACCAAGTGAGTCACAGGGAACCAGGTGGCCTGAGAGAAGGACCCATGACAGATGGCCTCAGCCATGTCGCTAGGAGGCTTGGGTCCCAGTCCTGTGGCCCCACCAGCCAAGAGCTTGTGGACATTCAGAATCAGGCTTGCTGGTTTAAGCCCGGGCATGCAGCACCAACACTGTCTGCCCATGGGCTCTCTGGGTCGGGCCCTGCCTGACTCAGTCCCTGCATCACCAGTGCCAGGCCAGGCACAGACAGGCTCAGTGGGGTGGGCTAAGTAGTGCTTGGGAGCCAAACCAGGCATCAGAGGGATTGAGATGCCCCCAGGCTGACTCCCACTCAAGCGGGTCCCCACACCTCCCCCCGAGCCCATCCCCTCTGTCCACCTGCTGCCACTCTGACAGCTACAACCCACCCAGGCTTGGGGCTGCCTGGACTCTGCCTATAACTTCACAGGCTCACTCCCATGCTGTCCTTCACACCTGGAGAAGTGCCAAGGTTACCAGTGCCACAGAACAAACAGCCGCATGCACTCTGCACCCTGCTCAGCCATTGAGACAGCAGATTCTGTAGCTTTGGGCAGTTCCCACATCCTTCCAGTCCTGATCTTTCCCCTGGAAGCCAAGGAGTGTTCAGTGCCTTCTCTACGTGCTCTTGGCCCCTGTCCACAACAAAGGCCACAGGTCCCTTGTTGTGGAACTATGAGTGAACCCAGCGTTCTCCCCAGGGACCCCAGCACAAAACGAGCTCTCAACACACATGAGTGAATAAAACTGTCCCAGAAAGCGGGAGACTTTACACAGTGGCTACAATGTCCCTAGTACACTGCTACAGTCCAGAAGGGAGAGAAGGGGCTGTGCACACCAGGAAGCCAGAAGCCCACATGCACCTGCCCAGGGTCTGTGCATGGAGCTCCGGCAGGTCCTATCTCTTGGCCTTCAGAATAATGATGTAAATACAGGGACAAAGATGGAGCAGGTGTCACTCAATGTGCAAACTCTCCCCCTTCTTCTGGTGAGGCCAGAAGTACCTAGGTAGGAGCAGACCCTACCTCCGACCACCTCCCTCCCTGCAATGGGAATAGCAGCCCAATCCCCAGGCTGTAGGGATCCACAGGCTATGCAAGTGTGGCTCTACCCCCAGCATGCCCTGGTGCGAAGCTGTGCCCAGGGAGATGTTATCTGCACCCCAGACTGCCTGTGGTGCTGCAGAGTGGTGCTGAGGAGAGAGCAGGGCACACCTGGAGTCTATATCACCTGCCTTCCCTAGGGAGTCTTGGGCCCTCTCCACATTCAAGGCGAGGGGAGCAGAGGATCTCCACGAAGACCCCCTGAGCACATCCCTTCTCTTTTTGCTGATAGACAACCCAAGGCTTAAGGGGTTTTGGAACCAAGACATGGTCACTGACATTAGAGGAATGGCTCGCTCTCCCTCCTGCATCCCTACCTGGTAAGGGGGGGCAATTGACCCTTTCCAAAGCACCCTGGTTGCTGTAGGAAGGAGAATGGAGACATCAGGCTGAGCCCACTGGCCTCCTTCAGCGCTCGGGCTCTCCCCTGCAGACAGCCTTCCTCAGCAGCCGCACAGCTCAGGGCTTCTCCTCCCTGGGTGCCAGTAAGCCCAGGTAAGCCTCTGGCTGCCCAGCAATTCCAATACCCAGAGGGAGGAGCCAACAGTGCAGGCCACGTTCTCACCAAGCCATCTGCAGAGGGGTCAGGTCCACCCTGAGTCCTCCCTTCTCAGTAACAAGCTGCTGCTGTGTTTTCCATTGTCCTACAGCTGATTTGCCAGTCGGTGCAATCACAGCGAGGACAAACACTAATGCCCCTCCTGAGACCTCTCTTCTGGCTGATGGTGTGGACCTTGACTCCACAGCAGGTGTCTGCAGGCCCTCCAGCTGGCCCTCGGTAGCCTGGAGTGGCTCGTCCTGGACAGACTCACCTCTATGACGCAGGGGGAACTGCCAGGAGTCCCTGAGCGAGGTGATCTGAGAAATGCCATGGCAGTGTTCTAAGCCAGCAGCCTGGCTTACCCACAACCTCTCCGCTGTGTGACCTTGAGCAAGTGCCTTAACCTCTCTGAGCCTCAGCTTGCCCCTCTGTTAAAGAATGATCATATATGACACCTAGCAAGGTTATGTGGAGTATCAGCAACAAGGAATCCACTGCAGCCAGTGGTGCAGGTGCAACTGGCTGGGGCTGGTGTCACGGGTGGTAAAAGAATTTACCGAGACAGTCATGGGTAAAGAAAGTCTGAAGACACCTTGCAAGAGAACAGCAGGCAGCATGGCAGAGAGAAGGCCACCTCCCCAGGGGCAGAGGCCAGGGGGAAGTTTGATAGGGTCACACTGGAGAGGCGACATGCAGACAGGGTCATGCTGGAGAGGCCACATGAAAACAGAGTCACGCTGGAGAGGCCACATCTGGATACGGTCATGCTGGAGAGGCGACATGCAGACAGGGTCACTCTGGAGAGGCCACATGCAGACAGGGTCATTCTGGAGAGGCCACATGCAGACAGGGTCACTCTGGAGAGGCCACATGCAGACGGGGTCATGCTGGAGAGGCCACATACAGACAGGGTCACTCTGGAGAGGCCGCATGCAGACAGAGTCATGCTGGAGAGGCTACATGTGGAAACGGTCACACTGGAGAGGTGACATGCAAACAGGGTCACGCTGGAGAGGCCACATGCAAACAGTGTCACGCTGGAGAGGCAACAGGCAGACAGGGTCACGCTGGAGAGGCCCCATGCAGACAGGGTCACGCTGGAGAGGCCCCATGCAGACAGGGTCACGCTGGAGAGGCCCCATGCAGACAGGGTCACGCTGGAGAGGCCCCATGCAGACAGGGTCATGCTGGAGAGGCCCCATGCAGACAGGGTCATGCTGCTGGAGCTAACGTGCAGAGCTAGGTATTTGGTAACAGGAGGTTGTACAAGCGGGCTGCTTGTGGTTATCCATTTCTTAGAACAACGGCTCTCCCCCACCCTAGTTCATGTTCTTGCCAGCTAGGGCCTGTGGTGCCATGGAGTTGTGCAGAGGAGGGAACCCCTTCCTCATTTCTATCAGCTGATCGGGACTCCACAGTTTGGTTTCGCTGCATATGACAATCCCAGCAAAAGAAGCATAAACAAGAAAGAAGCTGATTTCTTTCTGAAGGGAGAATCTGGGGATGACTGATTGAGGGTGAGGTGGCAGCTCCTCGATGTCCTCAGGGACCCAGATCCTGGCTGTCCTGCTCCTCATCCTCCACGCATGGTGTCTAGCCTCAAAGCCACTCCATGGTCCAAGGTAGCTGCTGGTGCTCCAGCCATCAAGACCACAGGACAGGTGGAAGGAAGCTGGAAACGTACAGAGCAGAAAAGGGCCCCTCCCAGAAGTCCCAGCTGAGTCAGCTTGTTTTTAGCCATCTTCCTGGAAGTCTCCTATAGCACTTCTGCCTTTAACCCACTGGCCACGACTTAGCAGCTCAGCTCCACTTAGCGTCAGGGAGGAAGCTGGGAGATGCAGGTTTTCATTCCGGCCAGCTACATGCCCCGCCACGCATCAGGGTTCTGCTTCCACGGAGGAAGGGAAGAGGACCATGTCTGTACAAGAGGAGCTAGACCCACGATAAACATGAGCCACGCTAATGTTGTCAGCATCCCCAGAACAGCCGGCAACACAGCCTTGCACCGCAGCCTAGAGAGGGAGCCAGGGTGCAAAAGGGACAGAAAGGGAGAGAACCAGAGGCCAGGCTGACCTGAGCAGCCAGGGACAGAGGACAGACCCAGGAGGCAGATGGGAGTTCAGGGCAAGGAAAGTCTTGGGGGCTGCCTGGGGCAGGGGGAGGGAGATGTGGGGGGCAGAGGTAGGGGTGAGCTGCACCTGGGAGGGAACATGCACCCTCTTCCTAAGGAGACCCTGAGAGGCTTAGGGGAGACGGTAGCATGCAACAGCACCTGCTGCTCCCCTCTGCAGGAGGCCGACTCCACGGAGGACCATGCTCTGGCAGAGGAACCCAAATACACATTTCTCCCACACCTCAGCCTCTCCTGGCCCCAAGGCAGGTACAGGCTCAGAGCTCGGGAACCGGCTGGAGACTTTCCTCTTTTTGCTGACTCTGCCCTGGCATATTCTGAGGTACAGGGGTCAAGACTTCAACACATGAATTTGGGAGTCACAGTTCAACCCAGCATGCTATACAGATCTCAAGGGTGTCACTCAGGGAGTTGACAAAGGCAGACTCCACCAAGATAAGAACCTGACCACCCCCGAGATATGTGCTCATCAGTCCCCACTGCACCCCCTCCAGAGGCGACTTTTCATCGCAGATCAGCATGACCTGTTCTAGAGCTTCCTACAGGCAGAGTCAGGCCACACTGGCCCGCCCCAGCTCTCAGAGGCCCGCCATCACTGTGCACCCACACACCACCAGCTGTAACCCATGCACAGGACCTCAAGGTGGGCCGGCTCAGCTGCCAACAGGAGCCAGTGGTGCTTAGCTATCCAGCAGGGCAGCACATGGTCCTCCCAGGAGCCGTGGCCCAGCACCTCCTGGCCGGAACAGCCATCCTATTCAAATAAACGAGTAACAAAAATGGGCATGCTCTCCACTTCCAAAAGCAATGCTAGCCAGGCACAGTGGCTCATGCCTGAAATCCCAATGCCAGAGACGTTGGAACCAGAGCAACTCCATCTTGAACAGGAGCTGGGTAAAATGAGGCTGAGACCTGCCGGCCTGCATTCCCAGGAGTTTAGGCATTCTAAGTCACAGGATGAGATAGGAGGTCGGCACAAGATACAGGTCATGAAGACCTTGCTGATAAAGCAGGTTGCAGTAAAGAAGCCAGCCAAAGCCCACCAAAACCAAGGCGGCCACGAGAGTGACCTCTGATTGTCCTCACGGCTCATTATATGCCAATTAGAATGCATTTGCTGCCAAAAGACACCCCCACCAGCACCATGACAGTTTACAGATGCCATGGCAATGTCTGGAGGTTACCTTATAAGGTCTCAAAAGGGAGGGGAGGAGACCTCAGTTCCTCTTCATCCCTTTACTTTCCTGATAAACTTGCTCTCACTTTACTCTGTGAACTCGCTCCAAATTCTTTCTCGCATGAGATCAAAGAGACCTCTCTCGGGGTCTGGATCAGAGCCCCCCCTTTTCCAGTAACACCAGCACTTTGTGGGAAAGACAGAGGTGGGAGGATTGAGTGAGGCCAGAAGTTCAAGATCAGCCTGGCCAACATAAGGAGACCTAAGTGCCTAACTTAAAAAAAAAAAAAAGGCCAGGCATGGTGGCTTACGCCTATAGTCCCAATACTTTGGGAGACCGAGGTGGGCAGGTCACTTGAGCCCAGCAGTTCAAGACTAGCCTGGACAACATCGTGAAACCTTGTCTCTACAAAAAACAAACAAACAAACAAACAGAAACGAAGAAATTCCAGGGCACAATAGTGTGCACCTGTAGTCCCAGCTATTCAGAAGGCTGAGATGGGAGAATCGCTTGAGCCCAGGAGGTAGAAATTGCAGTGAGCTGAGATTGCGCCACTGCACTCCAGCCTGGGTGACAGAGGGAGACCCTCTCTCAAAAAAATAAAAAAAGAAGCCCAGGCAGGCATGGTGGCACGCACCTGTAGTCCCCAGCTGCTCAGGAGGCAGAGGCAGCAGAATTGCTCGAGTGCAGGCTGTAGGTCAAGGCTCTAGTGAGTTACGATTGTGCCACTGCACTCCAGCCTGGGTCACAGAGCAAGCTGCAGTCTTAAAAAATAAAAAATAAAAAAAATAAAAGCAGTGCTATTTTCCTACAAATGAAGAAATCTCATCAGACAAATACTGCCACAAACCAGATGAAAATCATGATCTAATATTCCAACAAGAACTTCAGCTCCGAAGGGATACTATAGCACAGAATAAGAACAGAGGAGAATAAGCACAGAATAAGAATGCAGGGAAGAGGTGGCCAAATGGCAGCGGAGTCTGTGGTAGGAAATGACAGAATTCAAGAAGGAAACTGAAGAAAAAGACAAAACCATTTCAGAAATGAAGAAATGAAGTTACAGGTAATATGAGAGCACAGACACCACGAAAATCACGTAAAAAAGGAAAAAGTGAGCAAATGGAAAGAAAGAGGAAAGAGATTAAAAAGGAGGCCTCCTGAGTAGCTGGGAGCACAGGTGTGCACCACAGCACCTGCTGAACAAGGATTGAAACTATCATTCAAGATCTCTTTATTGAAATGCAGGCAGACTTGCGCCTGCCTGTAAAAGTGCATGCTGTATACTTGTGTGTGTTGGCCCAGAACAGTCAACACAAAACATGCCTTTGTAAAGTCACTGGACTTTAAAGATAAAGAAATAATCCTTTAGGCAGCCAGACAGAAAGACCAAGTATCTTATAAAGCAAAGAAAACCAACTTGGCATCAGACTTCTCCAAAGTGACATTCAATACCAGAAGAAAAAAGAAGCAATGCCTCCTTATCTAGAATTTGTGGGTAGAATTCTGTCCCCCAAAAAGGTATGTTACACTTTGGGAAATTGAGGTAAGTGGATCACTTGAGATCAGGAGTTCGAGACCAGCCTGGCCAACATGGTGAAACCCTAGCTCTAATAAAAATACAAAAATTAGCCAGGCATGGTGGGGTGGGTGGGGGCGCCTGTAATTCTAGCTACTCGGGAGGCTGAGGCAAGAGAATTTCTTGAACCCAGGAGGTGGAGGTTGCAGTGAGCCGAGATCGCGCCACTGCACTCCAGCCTGCGCGACAGAGCAAGACTCTGTCTCAAAAAAATAATAAAAATTTTAAAAGATATGTTAAAGCCTCAACCCCTGGTACCTATGAATGCAACCTTTTTGGAAATAGGGCCTTTGCAGATATAATCAAGTGAAGACGCAGTCACACCTGATTGGAGTGGGCCCTGATTCAATACAACTTACCTCCTTATAAGAAGACAAAAAAGGCCGGGTGTGGTGGCTCATGCCTGTAATCCCAGCACTTTGGGAAGCCAAGGTGGGTGGAGCACTTGAGGTCAGGAGTTCGAGACCAGCCTGGCCAACATGGTGAAATCCCGTCTCTACTAAAAACACAAAAATTAGCCAGTCGTTGTGGCAGGCACTTGTAATCCCAGCTCTTTGGGAGGCTGAGGCAGGAGAATGGCGTGAACCAGGGAGGCAGAGCTTGCAGTGAGCAGAGATCATGCCACTGCACTCCAGCCTGGGCGACGGGGCAAGACTCTGTCTCAAAAAAAATAAAAAATAAAAAATAGAAGATGATTCGGCTCATGACTCTGGAGGCTGGGAAGTCCAAGTTTCAGGGGCTGCATCTGGCGAGGGCCTTCCTGCTGTGTCATCACATGGCAGAAGGCATCACACGGCAAGAGAGTGTGAGAGAGTGAGAGAACACATGCCCAGCCTCGAGGCCTTTTGTTACCTGCATGGATCATCCATGGATCATCCTAAACACCTCCCCTTAGGCCCTACCTCCCAACACTGTTGCATTGAGGACTGAGTTTCCAACACGTGTTTTTAGAGGGACACATTCAAATCACAGCTTCCCCCCTCCACCACCCATTTTAATCCTGGGCTTTGCCTGGCTCCAATTCCTCTCTTATGTAAAGCAATGGATCAGACACACAGCCTTGGGGGATCTGTGAGAACTGAAGGGACTGAGGCTTCTCTCACACAGAACCCCAAAACCCTCCCATGCCTCCAGGACCCTCAGCAGGGAAGAACCCCACCTAACTCAGGGCCCAATCAGAGGCAGGGCCAAGGGTTATCCCTGCCCTCAGACTGGTTTTCCCAGGCTAGGGTCTGAGAACCCCGAGCAGCCAGTCCTTCTTCCCATGAGATGCGACTGGGCAGGGCCAGTGAAGGAACCCAGAGGCATGTTAGTCAAAGCAGGTTTCAGGCTCTGGGTGAGGGGTCCTGCATGGTGAGAAGCTGGGCCCACCTCCCACAGAGCCCACAGAACAGACTCAAACTCAGACACCAACAAGAAGATGCCAAGGCTGGGGAGGGCAGGCCCAGCCCACAGAGTTTCTGCAAGAACTCTTCCCTGGCTGTGGTCGGAGCAGCTACTCAGGAAATCCCTGGCAGCAGAGTGGGTGCCCCCTCCGGGCACCAGGAGGAGAGGTGTGCAGGGGGGATTCCGGGTCAGCCATTGGGATTTGAGACTCGCCTGGACACCCACTTCCACTTCTCCCCCACCAGGCGTTTCTCCCATCAGGGAAGAGGAATGCTCAGATGGGCCCAGAGGCCATGCAGAAAGAAGGAGGCCTCCCCCGGGGCTGAGAAGGCAGTGATGGGAGGCCGGCCCCAGGCTTGGGGTGTGGGTGGTTTCAATTGGAAAATTTTATAATAAAAAATTGGAAGAAAGAATGTAATTCCCTCTACAAAAATATGTCCTCATGATGCCACGTACCCACCTACACCCACCTGACCCCAGTGGCCTCCTTCCACAGCCAGCCACTGCAAAGGAGGCCAGGGAATGTGTCTTCCTGGTGCCCACAAAAGAGACAGAGCTGGAGGGCATGGGGACCCAAGGTTCCAGGCTTCAGAAGGGAAAGCATCCACAGCGATCCCACAGTAAGGACAGCCTCTGATGGCAGCCCCCACTGGCCAAACTACATCCCCCTGGGCAGAGTGCACCGGGCCTGGCTTCCCTCCATGCTGGTTCCAACTCACAGCCGGGGTGAGGCCAGGGCGAGGCCAGGTCCGCCCTTCACGGGGAAGGCTCCCTGGGTGCTTCCCTGGTCAGGGCTGTGCATTCTTGTCACCAGTCCCTCCCTGACCCCAGTGACTCTGGCTGGGCCTCCACCCCTGCCCAGACCCACCCCACCACAGAAGACCCTGACCTACCATTCACTCTTTTTTAAATATTTTATTTTTTCAGAGACAGGGTCTCACTGTGTTTCCCAGGATAGAATATAGCGGCTGTTCACAGGCATGATCATAGCTCACTGCAGCCTGGAATCTCTGGCCTAAAGCAATCCTCCTGACTCAGCCTCCTGAGTAGCTACAGAGCCACAGGCCACGCCCGTCTCTCAGCATTCCCTCTTTTACTTTATTTATTTATTTATTTATTTATTTATTTATTTATTTTGAGGTGGAGTTTCACTCTTGTCACCCAGGCTGGAGTGCAATGGTGGGATCTCAGCTCACTGCAACCTTCGTCTCCCGGATTCAAGTGATTCTCCTGCCTCAGCCTCCCCAGTAGCTGGGGTTAAAGGCACCTGCCACCACGTCCAGCTAATTTTTTTATTTTTATTTTATTTTTTTAGTAGAGATGGGGTTTTGCCATTTAGGCCAGGCTGGTCTTGAACTCCTGACCTCAAGTGATCTGCCCACCTCAGCCTCCCAAAGTGATGGGATTACAGGCATGAGCCACCATGCCTGGCTGGCTTTCCCTCTTGAGCACATGCAGGTAGGCAGGAATCCCAGCCCCCTTTGCAGATGAGCAAACTGAGACACAGAGAGGTTCAGCCACCTGCGAAGGTTGCACAGCCAGGATCCACCGCCTTCTCGCAGCACCCACCCTCTTCCCAAGGAGTGCCCAGTTCAGCAAGGCAGATGACACCAATCCCAACTGGGCAGCCAGGTTTTATGAGGCCAGGACAAACAGCACTGATTTGAAGCCTCGTAGAGGGGTTCAAATCACAGGCCCTGCCACAGGCTGGCCTCAGGGTCCTGGGGGAGCTGTGGGCATGCTTCTGAGCCGTAGCTCCTCTATCCACCCAAGGGAGCTGGTAGCACTGGCCTTAAGAGTGTGCTGTGAGCCCGGGGGGTTGCAGCTGGGCATTGAATGATTCCTACCACCCCACAAATACCACTCTGCCCCTCCAATGGGGGCAACCCCTCATGGCCTGTCTCGGCAGCGTGGAAGTTACACTCTATTGCGTCACCCCCAGGAAGATGGAGAGAGGCCCCCAGGACCTCATGAGGGTGGTTTTCTGCATAATGAGATGCCTTGGATATTCCTAAAGGTCCGAGCCTAGGCCTCTGTCAGCACATCAGTGAATGCAGCCCTGCTGGACAAGCTCAGGAGGACTCCAGGATCCCGAGTGACACATTCCACATCCACACAGGCAGACTGGGGCCTGCAATTACAGATGGGAGGTCCCAAGGTCCAGTCGGGGGCTCCCACATGTTCCCAGGAAAGCACCAGGCAGGGAGGGTGGTGGGTAGCAGTTCTGGGCTTTGCTCCTCGCCAGGCCCCATTTCTTCATCTGTAAAATGGGGAGAAAATATTTTCCCTTCCTAACTGCATTGGAAAGACGAGATAAGCAGCTGACTGGGGAAGGTGGAACTTCCCACTCTAGCAATATTGGGCGAAATAAGTGGGTTCAGAGACTGAGCAGTGGTGCTGGCCCCAGACACTGGTGTGGATGCAACACGTCGCAGGACTCAGCCCGTCGAACCCCTGCCTGCCGCTGCACTGATGCCCCCTTCCCCCTCACAGAGGCCTGATGCCCGGCCATCCTGATGGCGGGAGCTCCCCTAGGCCTCCACAGCCGTGGTCCAAACGAACCCTGCACTCCACACCAGAGCTCCTCACCACTGGGGCACCCTGGGCTGCCCTCGGGGCTGGCACTCTCGGTGGTGGGGGCCGTCCCACACCTGGTAGGATGCTGAGCGGCACCCCCAGCCTCCACCCACTAGACGTTGGTAGCATTCGTTGTGACAACCAATTTATACCTAAACATTGCCAATACTGCCCCCATTGGAGAACCAATGACGGGTAGTCTAGACTGTCCATGTCACCTTCTCTTAGTCCTTCCCCAGACTGGGACGTCTCACAACCAAGTCCTTGTCCCACCCCACTCTCTATATCCCGGCATCCAGCACTGCCCCCTGCTGAGGGCTCGGCCAATGTTTCCTGAATGAATGAGTGGTCCCTGGATGTGAGCATGGGTCACACACCTCATGGTGATTGGGTGGGGGTTTCTCATGAGTAGAGGGACCCCCACATGCCAGGGCTGCATTGAGCAGGGACGTCAGTGACTCCCTCTGTGAAGGCGGCCACTTGAGGCAGGATTCTAGGAGCCTTTGTCACACCTGGCAGTGCACAGGATGATTCAGAGAGAGGCTGTCCCAAGGCCTCCCGGCTCACTGGTCGCAGTCTTCCCCGTCCTCCCGCCACCCTCCACACAGCACCACTGCCACCCACATCCCTGCTGGGCAGGAGAGGTGGTCGGGAGGGCAGACACAGGGCAGTGGGCGAGTCTGATCCAGGTTTTGTGAGGCCTCCCTATAAAGAAAGAATACAAACTTACAAAAACAAAATTAGGTATGACAGTGAATATTTCTTTAGGATGAGGAAAAAAAAAAAGCAAACATACAAAATCCAGAAAACCAACATCGTGTTTTTACGAAGGGCCTGCTCCATCTCCATAACACTTCTTCTTGAACTTTTTGGCTGCGTACTTTTTATCTATCTCATTGTTTGAGAATTTTACATCACCTACGATAGAAGGAATAGAAACATAATTGCTCTTCCTCCAGCATGGCTGATTGAAATTTGTTTTTTCTTATTTATAATTAGAACACATAGAACAGATGACTTAACACATGTGCACACAGCTTTGCAGTACAGCTAGAGGTCTGTGTACGTTAAACAACAAGTTCTGATCAATTCTATTTACAAGATTCCTGTTTGCAAAAGGAAGCAGGCCAGGCATAGTGGCTCCCACCTGTAATGCCAGTACTTTGGGAGCCCAAGGTGGGCGGATCACTTGAGCCCAGGAGTTTAAGACCAGCCTAGCCAACATGGTGAGATCCTGTGTCTACAAGAAAAAAAAAAATAGCTGGATGTGTAGTTCCAGCTAATTAGGAGGCTGAGGCGGAAGGATTGCTTGAGCCTGGGAGGTTGAGGCTGCAGTGAGCTGTGACTGCCCTACTGCACTGCAGCCTGGGCGACAGAGCAAGTCCCTATATCAAAAAAAAAGAGGAAGCAGCAATGCTGGGTGCACATTTGTAATTGTATACGATGCATTTATCAACAGACCATTTCTGCTCTGGCGAGGCCCTGATGAGAGCTGAATACTCTGCTTACAAAGGCACATGCCCGAGGACCGTCAGAGGGTCCACCGGGCGCTTGGGCTCCGTGTGTTTCAGACCAGCCTGGCCAACATGGTGAAATCCGCATCCATGTGCGGTGCAGAGCATGGCAGGGTGCATTCTCCTCCTCACCGTCTCTCCCAAGCACCTTCAGGTCGTGATGCCGAAGAAACCATCTATGCCCAGGTCTTAATCCATAAAGGTGCCTAACAGAGGTCAACGCTATTGAAAGGAAAGTCTAACATCGCTCTTGAAACATTCGCTAGAAATGAGAGACGTGGCAGGCCCCGCAGGGCGGCAGGGGGAAGCCGCAGGCAGAGCAGGAGGCAGAAAGGAGCTAGGGAAAGGCCAAGCCACAGCCTGTGTTGGCTTCCCTGTGAAAGCCGGGCAGAGCAGGGGAGACAGCTTGGGACGGGCTGATTTGTCTGATTCTGGGTTCCGGGGCTGTCCCTTGTGGTCTGGTTCTGGGCCTGGGTTGACACTGGGCAGGGAAATATTGGCTGGGGGTACAGAAGATGAAGGAAGTGGTTTGGAGCAGGGGCTCTGGGCAACAGGGGAGGTGCTAACAGCCCTGGTCAGGAGGTTGGCCCTGTCATCATGACTGCAAGTACTCAAACACAGCATCTAAGGAGGCACAGATCAAGGACGAAGCCAGCAGGAAGGTCAGTGGGGATGAGGGGGACTTGGGGGTCTTTCTTCCTCTGCCTCCTTCCCCTTCCCACACCGGAAGGTAAATTGTGTTCTTCTGTGAAAGTCACAAGAACTCTCAGACACCCAGAGAGTTCACACACAAACACAGGAAAAGACACAAGTCGTATGACCATCTCAACAGATGCAGCCTAGTGTTTGATGACACTCACTGTCTGTTCTTAAGGAAAAGCTCAGCCCTCTGGGAAGAAAAGACCCATTGTTAAGCTGATGAAGGCCATCTATGGAAAAAGTCAGAGCTGCCAACAGAGCTAACAGGAAAATGTTGAAAGCTTTCTTTACAAGATTGGCAAGGGGACAAAGAATCCTATTAGTGCCACTGCTATTCAATATCAGCCTGGATGTGGCAGACTGCACAGTGAGTCGGGTAGTTTGTGAAGAAGAAAGCAAAACTGTCTTTATTCACAAATGATATGGTTGTGTATGCAGAAGAGCCTACATAATCCACAAGGAAATTCTGAGGATTCAGAGGAGTTTAGCAAAGTTGTTGGGTTCAAAATCCATAGGCAAGATTCCATTTTCTTACTATATATTAGCAACAATGTTGGAAAAATAAAATTTATAAAAAGACATAATAGCACAAAATATCAAGAATCTAAGAATAATGTGCAAGGTCACTATACAGAAATGTTATTAGTAGGCATTAAAGATGGTCTAAACAAATGGAGATACCATGTTCATGGATTAGAAGACTCAAAATGAATTCTTCCCAAATTAATTAATTTTTTCCAAATTGATTTGTAGAACTAAAGAAATTGCTATCCAAATCCTAACCAGGTTTTTGTGGAACTTAAAATACTTACCCTAAAATTTGTGTTGTTTTCGTTTTTGATTTTTTTTTTTCTTTTTCTTCTTCTTCTTATATTGAGACGGGGTTTCTCTATGTTTTCCATGCTGGTCTCAAACTCCTGGGCTCAAGCCATCCACCCGCCTCAGCCTCTCAAAGTGCTTGGATTACAGGCATGAAGCACTTCATCCAGACTAAAATTTGTATGGAAATACAAATTCAATTTGACAAATATTTGGCCAGGCATGGTGGCTAATGTCTATAATCCCAGCATGTTGGGAGGCTGAGGCGGATGGATCACATGAGGTCAGGAGTTTGTGACCAGCCTGGCCAACATGGTGAAACCCCGTCTCTACTAAAAATACAAAAATTAGCCGGAAATCACTTGAACCCAGGAGGCGAAGGCTGCAGTGAGCCAAGATTGTGCCACTGTACTCCAGCCTGGTCAAGAGAGCGAGACTCCATCTCAAAAAGAAAAAATAATAAATAAAAAATATTTATTGAGCCCCTTAGTCCAGGGACTGCTTCTGGTACTTGGGACGCCTCTAAGAACCCCACCCACAAAGACCCTTCTTCGTAGACCTTAGCAGGAGAGACACACAGTAAAGAGTAAACACAATACATAAGCAAAGTACCCAGTATGGCAGGAGGTCATAACTGTTTTGCAAAAAACAAAGACTACAGAGGGGAGGGTCACCAGGACATCTAGGGGCAGAGGTGGGGTGAGAATCCAACCTTCCACACGGGCCATCTCTGCGACCCATCTCTGTGACCCCAACCAGAGGCCCCTTGCCGGTCATCCTGTTCCAGCTTCTGATGTCCTGATGTAGAAGCGGCTCCTCCGCAGCTCTGAGGTGAGAGGCCAAGCCCTCCATGACCCCAAAAGGCCAGGGCTCCCCAAGTGTTATCCACAAACACACCTGTGGGGACTGCAGGCTCCTACAAGGCGCCCTTGCACAGGTCTCTTGCAGAGCTTCTCCACCCACTCTCTGGGCCCTGACACTGTGGGAGGGTGCCTGTCCTTACCCCAGCCGGATGTCCCACCACACTCCTGCCTGGGGACTTCTGGCATGCAGGAGAGGCTGGACACGCAGGTGCAGAGAGGCTTGCCCCAACGCCGTTGCCCGTTTTACCTTGAAGTTCGTGGTTCTTTAATTCTTGCTCCAAACTGTGAGTCAACCTTTAAAATATATGATATTGAAGTTCTCCTTCAGCCTCCAGTCTTTCATCAGAGTTAAATCCAGAGATTTCATGAGCAGTAGATAGATCTGCAGTAGAGAAAAGTGCTCCAAAGGTGGGCGCACCTGGCTCCCATTTGGAGGTGTTTATAAATGCTTTTATGTAGACCCCTCCTAGATGACGAGGAATGGCCTCAGAGCAACCCTGGGAAGGATGAGGAGGGGTCTGGGGACTCCAGACGAAATTGCACAGCCACCTACCGTGTGAGTGGAAACCCATGCTGCTTCTGCCTGGCCTCTAGGATCCGCATTCAGGGGAAGCCGCGTCCCTGCGGTCATGAGACGTGATTGTTCAGACCAATGGATGCGGCTAAGCAGAATCATTTCATTTCCCCCGCACTTGCCAAAGGCAGGGACTTTCCTGTTTGTCCCTGCCTGATATGCAGGAAGGGCTCAGAACTACTTAAGAACAAATCAATGAACCTATGGCTTTATGGCAAATACCACAGAAACAACCTTATAAATGGGCTGAGGAGGCTGTCTGGCCTCTAAGAAATGACCTCATCTCTCTGAACCTTAATTTCCTCATCAGTAAAGTGGCAGTGCAGCCCCTCCATCACAGGACGCTCCCTGGCAGAGTGCAGCCCTGCCATGCAGCAGCCGGTATGACCTCGTCCTTGTGATCAGGAGGGCCCTGCTGAACTGTTTCCGCCCCGCAGGCGCCTACGAAACCCAGGAAATGATGTGGCCTTCCTGGAGCCATGCAATGGCTTTGTTGTCACCAGGAAAAGGGCCTGTGGCACCCGCCTGGCCACTCATGTCCTAAATGAGACAGGCCCTCTTCATCGGCCTCAGTGGCTCATTGAGATGAGGACTTGGGAATTTTGCTGTTTAACAGAGCAACTGAGCACCCAGGTGGCTGCCCCAGCAGACTCTGGAGACGTTTCAGGAGACCTGGCAGGGACCCAAGCCTCTGCCACTGCACCAGACCCTGGCCAGAGGGCTGGGCTCAGAGCCCTTTATTGTTTTATTTTTATTTTTTATTTTTTAGAGACAGAGTATTGCCCTGTCTCCCAGGCTGGAGCACAGCAGTTGAAACCATACCTCACTGCAGCCTCGATCTCCCAGGCTTAAATGATTCTCCTGCCTCAGCCTCCAAGTAGCTGGGACCACAGGCATATGCCACCATGCCAGCCTTATTGTTAAATGTTTTGGGTAGATCCCATCTCCCTATGTTGCTCAGGCTGGTCTTGAACTCCTGGGCTCAAGCGTTCCTCACATCTCAGCCTCTTGAGTAGCTGAGACCACAAGTGTGTGCCACCACACCTGGCCCCAGAGCCCCTTTTAAACTGCAACTCACAGTCTCCAAGTTAGACTCACACAGAGAAGATCTAAATATGTGTCTCCTTGAGGGAGGCTGAGGAGTGGAGGAGGATGAACTCTTACAAAACGTCAACCTTTTTAAAAATATGTTTTCAGTAATTGCTGTTCTGCGCCAAGTTTTATCCTAGTGGGAGTTTCATGTCAGAATTACTAAGTAGGAGTTCATAACAGAGAAGTTAATCGCCCTTGTGTAGGGGCGAGGCACCAAGCGATGATCTCTGTGCCCAGGTAGGTGTTTTCTGGATCCACACAAGCACAGGAGATGGCAGGTGGGGAGTGGGTGGGGGGTTATGAAGGGCAGCCGAGGAGGGGCAGGCGGCAGGGGGAAGCAGGATCTCTGACAGTAGAAGGGAGTGGTCACTACGTCCCCAACACACCCCCTTCACGTCCCCGCTATAGCCACACACTACGGTGGAAAGGCTCCAGGCCAGCCCCCATCCCCTCAGGACCATGATGCGGGCATCTGCAGAAACGGGTGGGGGCTGTCTGGCCTGAGAGGCCTAGAGCCAGGAAGAGGTGGTTTAGAGCTGCCCTCCTCCTCCAACTTCAGCCCCAACCCCCTTCCTCAGCAGCAGATCCCACCTGAGTCTCTCCTAGGCCTGTTCTGGATCCGAAGTGGGTATGAGACATTCACCATCTATTCCTTTGCTCCACCATCACCAGAGGCTTTGTGGTACCTTATTTTTGAGAATAGGCAACATATTCTAGGACTAGGCTGGGAACAAGGGAGAAATTCATCATGCATCCCTCCATTTATCCATCCATCCATCCATCCATCCATCATCCATTCTCCCACCTACCCACTCATTCCCCATCCAGCTACCCACTCATCCATCCATCCATTTGTCCATTCACCTACCAATCCATTTATCTATCCATCCATCCCCATCCATCCATCCATCAATCATTATCGATCCATCTATCCACTCATCCACCTATCCACCTACCAATCCATTCATTATCCATTCATCCCTGTCCATCCATCCATGTATCTACCTATCAATCCATTCATTATCCATCCACCTACCAATCCATTCATTATCCATCTACCCCATCCATCCATTCACCTACCAATTCTTATATTATCCATCCATCCCCATCCATCCATCCATCCACCCACTCATCCACCTATCAATTCATTCATTATCAATCCCTCCCCATCAATCCACCCACCCACTCATCCATTCATCATCCATCTATCCCCATCTACCCATCCACCTACCCATCCATCCATCCACCTATCCATCCATCCACCCACCCACCCACCTATCAATTCATTCATTATCAATCCATCCCCATCCATCTACCCATCCACCCACTCATCCATTCATCATCTATTCCCATCCATCCATCCACTTACCCATCCATCCATTCACCCCATCTACCCATCCATCTATCCACCCCAACTACCCATCCGTCCATCCACCCATCCACCTACCAATGCATTCATTATCCATCTATCCACCCACCCACCCATCCATTCATCATCCATCTATCCCCATCCATCCATCAACCCACCCACCCATTCAGCATCCATCTATTCCCATCCATCCATCCACCCACTCATCCACCCATCCGCCCATCCATCCATCCACCCACCCATCCACTTACCAATTCATTCATTATCCATCCATCCCCATCCATCTATCCCCCCACTCATCCATCCATCCATTCATCATCCATCTATCTCCATCCATCCATCAGTCCCCACCCATCCACCTACCCATCTACCCACTCATCATCCATCTGCCTACCCATCCAGCCACCCATCCATTCTTCATCTGGATGGACAAATCTTCATTGAGCAACAATTCTGCGCTGGGCAACAGGAGACAGAGATGCAGGAAACACAATCTCTGCTCTCAGAGAACATGCTTTCCAGGGACAAGAAGACATGGACAGATGGACAGAAGCACCAGGTGAAGACGTTAGGACATGGCTGATCGGTGGTCCATATCCTGTTTGGGGAAAACTGGGGGCCTGGGGACGTTGGTCTAATGAAGAGAAGACTTGGAGGAACTGGCATATGCTGCTGAGAATGTTTGGTGCCCACCATAATACCTGGGAGGGGGGAGGGAGGACAGAGGGGTGACCACAGTGAAAATGTGGAGGGATCAGTGGAGAGTAAGCCCAGCCATTGAAGGAATGTTTAGGTGAGGCACTGCAGAAGTCAGCTGGACACAATCAGGAGTGTAAGTGTTAAAGAAAGAGGAAAGAAACACAAAACGCAGCTTTGGGGCTGACATATCTGTGGCCGGAGGGGAGGTTATCTCGGGGCTGGCATGCCTCTGGTGAGGGAGGGGTTTGGAATGTTTCTGGTCTGAGATGTTATTTGTGGTTTTTGGTCATGCTGACCTTAGCCATTAGGCTGATGCCGTTTGGATTTAGGCGGTTTTTGATCAGGGTGAACTTAAAATGGCAGTGCTTGTCCAAGATGGCAATACTCCTGCTGCTGGTTGGCCACTCGGAATTGTCTTCGTGGAGAGAGAAGACTTTATGGTTATGGGCCACAATATCTAGGGTGTGGCCATGGGAGAGGAGGGCTGGGGTAGTTTTGAGGTCAAGACCATGAAAGGAGAGCAGGCCAGGGTTTTGCAGGGATCACCCCCTGGAAACGGAAATCACCAAAAGTTATAAGAAGAGGAGGAGTGCTGCAGAGCGATGTGGTCCTTGAGGGGCGAGCGGGTGTCCATCTCCAGTTACAGCACAGTCAAGGGGATGCTCAAAGTGTTGACAAAAAAGAGTCAAACTCTGTAAAATATTTGAAGAGAGTTATTCTGAACCAAACCTGAGTGATCATGGCCCATGATGCAGCCCCTGGGAGGTCCTGAGAACATATGTCCAAGGTGGTCAGGGTGCAACTTCATTTTACACATTTTAGGGAGACGTGAGACCTCAATCTAATACATTTAAGAAATAAATTGGTTCAGAAAAGCAAGAGAACTAGAAGGCGGGGGGTGGGTGAGGGGGGACTTCCAGGCTATAGGCAGATTTAAAAATTTTCTGGGTGACAATTGGTTGAGTTGATTTAAAGACCTGGGATCAATAGAAAGAAAATGTTTGGGTTAAGATAAAGGATTGTGGAAACCAAAGTTCTTATTTGCAGAGGAAGCCTTCAGGTGGCAGGCTTCAGAGAGAATAGACTGTAAAATATTTCTTATCAGACTAAAGTGTGTTGATGTTAATGCTGGAGCGATAATCATGCAAGTCCGATCCCCACTTCCCATCATGGCCTGAACCAGTCTTTCAGATTACATTATAAGAATTCCCTGGCAGAGGAGGAGGTCCATTCAGATGGCTGGGGGGCCCTCAGAATTTTATTTTTGGTTTACAAAAAGTTTAGGTTATGGGGGACGTTGCTCATGGCTGGTCAGGAGATTGAGAGTGGAAGGGTTTGAGGGAACTGGGGATGGGGGAAAGGGTCTGAGAAGGGGATATACAGAGCTGTCTGGGGCAAGGGGTGGCCTGGGGGGACTCAAACTTTCCATACAGAGGGAGAAGCAGCATAATGAGCTTAATCCTGGGGTCTACAGTGGCAGACAGTGGGGAAAGCAGTGACAGAGAGTTTGCCAGCAGAGGAGGCAGCTGAGGGTGGTCTTACTCAAAGACCCTCCCTGAATGCTGGGAGCTGGGAAGGGGTTGGTTTTGCCCAAGCACATGGGGTCTCACTTGTCTTCAGGCAATGGTGGCTACCTGAGGATAGCGGAGGCTCATTGCCCTAGGCCAAGTGGGAAAACTGCCTCACCCAGAAGGTCACACCCTCCCCCACAACCCAGTGCCTGATTGATGAGGGGAGGGAGAGGAGACACAAAATGGTCCTGGCCTCAAGGCAGGGACAGCCGTGAGGTGCAGTGCTCCTGAACTCCCCTTCATCCAACCAGGCTGAAGCAGTCACAGCCTTGCTCAGCTCTCTGCACTGGCTCTCTACCCCCACTCTCCTTTCCTAGGAGCACCCCCTCCATAATCACCTCCACAGGAATTCCATCTCAGCTCTGCTTCCAGGAAACCTGACCCAAGACAGAGGTTGTTGCAAGGGCAGAGGCCACAGGCATCCACGCCAGCCTCTGTGTGTTCAGTCTGTGAGCAGCCCAATGCTCCCCATGCACTCCTCCTTAAAGCCTACTCAACCCTGGGGTCTGCAGGCAAATTCCTCCCGGGTGCCTTCCCTTGTCCTGGCTGCCGCTCTGCTTCCTTTGCAAGCTCCTTCTCTCACCCTTGCGCTGGCTCCCTCCAGAGGGCTCCATCCCCTGCCCACTGTGCCTTCGTGGGTGGTGCCCAGATCTCTGTCTCCTCTGCCCTGGACCCCTCTGCCCCTGACTGGAAGATCTATAGAGTTCAATGCCCCTGGAGGGCTCCACGTCCATCCCACAGGGACCCGGACTCTCATCTTCCTCCTGAGTGTGCTCTCCCCGGAGACCTGGCATTGGAATTCGCCCTGCCACCTTCTGGTCTCCCCAAGTAGAAACCTGGGCGTCAGTCTGGACGCTTGTCACCAAATTCTGTCCCTTCCACCTTCACATGGCCTCTCCATCTTCACCGCCTCGGTGTCTCTATCTCGTCCCGATCACCGTCGCCTCTCCTCTGGCGGAGAGCACCAGCATTCCCACTGGTCTCTGCTTTTCCTCAAATGCATCTCTGTGTAAATCTCCTCTCAGGATCACTCTGTGACCCCCACTGCTCTGGGTGGAACCTTCTTTCCAGTGGCGTTTCAGTCCCCTGGGTCTGCCTCACTCCTCACCACCGTCTTGTGCTTCTGCACTGAGCTCCAGCCAGACCACCTGCCTGCAGCCACCTGGCGCTACCTGTTCCTGTGTGCTTCCTGCCTTTGCCTGGAGAGAATAACAATCTATAGTCCAAACTCAAGGACAAAAACAAACTGCTTTTTGGCTGTGGTGGCATGAAACCCCAAAAAGTCAATGACAGTGCTGCATGCTTCTGAAAGCTGGCCAGTCAGGGACAGCCCCACTCTACAGAACAGGCCCAGGCAGCAAGAACCTTGTGCCCCTGAAGTCAGGCTGAACACTCTCACTTCTGAAAGCTGGACAATCCTCAATGCCAGGCTTCCCAAGAGACTCAATTTGTTTTGCTCTGAGAGATGGTCCTATAAGCACAGTTCCCCTTTGCTCTAGTAAGCAAGATACTCAGCTTCAGCGCTGACCAGCCTCACGATCCGTCCTCACCAAGTGGAGGGCCCTCCCTCCGGGTTCCTCCACGGCCGTATGTGTCTCTGTTCATACACCTTCCCCTCAGCACTTAGAGACATGGGCTGGCATGGGGGGTGCTGGCGGCAGGGGTGAGAAATAAACTTTCAGCCCTAGATGAGGAGCCCAAGAGGAGAGCATGCCGTCACCTGGAGTCTCTGGTATGTGCCTGGCACCTGTACTGATTGCATTAACCACTGTGATTTTTTAAAAGATGTGCTATTTTGAAATGTATAATACATATGGAGAAGTGTATGAAATATGTACAATTTAAAGATAAGGAAAAATGCATGCCTGTGTGCCCACCACCTAGTGAAGAAATACAACCTGGACACCGCTTTGGAAGCCTGTCTGTGTTCACCCGTCGCATTCTCCCTCCTCCCCCAGCCCAGGTATCCTCCATCCTTTAGCCATCCCCTGACTTTCTTTAGTTTCATTGCCTGAAGTCTGAGCTACTAGGGAGGCTGAGGCAGGATAATTTCTTGAACCCAGGAGCAGAGGTTGCAGTGAGCCGAGATTGCCCCATTGCACTCCACCCTGGGTGACAGTGCGAGACCCCCTCAAAAAAAAAAGTTTGTGGGACCAATTCCAATCGAGTCAAGGGGTCTCAATTGGCCAAGGCAGTCTCAAACTTCTGACCCAAAGTGATCTGCCTGGTTCGGCCTCCCAAAGTGCTGGGATTGTAGGCGTGAGCCACCATGCCCGGCCTCCCCTCCTTTTCATTCAGGGATTTTAAATGTTTTATTTGCTCCATCTGTTATGTATGATTGCCTTGATGATTTCAGCTTGAATTAAAAGTACATATTTTTGCCTGTGTTTATTAATATTTAAACATATTAAAATAATACATGTTCATAATGAAAATGAAACATTACAAATAAATACACAGGAAAGGCAGTATTCCCCTTCCAGTTCCACTCTTGAAATAACCAGTTAACAAGATGATGAACATCTTTCCATGATGTTCTCCAAGATTCATATAATTATTTGCAATCATACAATGGCATATACAGCTCAGGTGCGGTGGCTCACGCAAGTAATCCCAGTACTTTGGGAGACAGAACTGGGTGGATCATTTGAGGTCAGGAGTTCAAGACTAGCCTGGCCAACATAGTGAATCCCCATCACTACAAAAAACACAAAAATTATCTGGGCGTGGTGGCAGACACTTGTATTCCCAGCTACTTGGGAGGTGGAGGCATGAGAATCACTTGAACCTGGGAGATGAAGGTTACAGGGAGCCAATATCGCATTACTTCACTCCCACCTGGGTGACAGAGTGAGATTCCATCTCAATAAATAAATAAATAAACAGAAAGAAAGAAAGAAAAAAAGATGAAAGAAACAAAGAAAAAAGGAAGAGAGAAAAAAAGACAGAGAAAGGAAGCAAGCAAGCAAGCAAGCAAGCAAGCAACCAAGAAAGAAAGAAAGAAAAAAAATAGAAAGAAAAAGAAGTCATGTGCTCAGGTTGCTAGGATCGATGGTAAGAACAAATCCTCTAGCGGTGAAAATGTAAGAAGGAAAAAGAAATTTCTGTTAGTCTTGTTTGTTGGACCCCAAGCTCTAAAAATACAGCCACATGTGTGATAAGTACTTAGTTAAGATGAAAAAGGCATTAAATTTGTGCATGGAAATCATAAACAGAAATGTGTTCTGATTGACAGCAATTGGGTCAATGCTATCCAAGGTTCAGGCATCCACTGCGGGTCTTAGAACACATCTTCTGCAGATAAGGGAGGGCTACTATATAACGTTTCTTTCTTTTTTTCTTCAATTATAAAGCATTCTCCTTTTTCATGTAACAATTTGCCATTGATATCACTTTAGGTATAAAGATATTAGGATATCTTTATAGTAGATAAAAAGCTAACTCATTATTTGTAAGAGTTAAAGTATCTTCCATTATATCAGCATATAAAATGCTAAAGTACTTTTGCCACCAAAAATAGTGCTTCTGTAAATATTCTTTTACTTATACCTTTATTAATTTTTACTTCTGCTGAAACAAATAGCATGAGGAAACAAATGTATGTGTATAAAATGTAATATATGTATATATATTTAATATGTGTATATACACATACATACAATAACATACCCAAATTTTTGGTTGTTTTTTGAGGTGGAGTTTTGCTCCGTCACCCAGGTTGGAGTGCAGTAGTGTGATTTCAGCTCACTGCAACCTCCACATCTTGGATTCAAGTGATTCTCCTGCCTCAGCCTCCTGAGTAGCTGGGAATACAGGCATCTGCCACCAAGTCCAGCTATCTTTGTCTTTTTGGTGGAGATGGGTTTTCACCATGTTGGCCAGGCTGCTCTCGAACTCCTGACCTCAAGTGGTCCACTGACCTTGCCCTCCCAAGGTGCTGGAAGTACACTTGTGAGCCACCGTGCCTGGCCTAACATATACAATTTAATGTATATACAAATATAGGTTGGGTGCACTGGCTCACTCCTGTAATCCTAGCACTTTGGGGAGCTGAGGTAGGGGATTCTTTGAACCCAGGAGTTTGAAACCAGCATGGGCATCATGGTGAAACCCTGTCTGTGCAAAAAACACACAAATTAGTTGGGTGTGGTGGCACGTGCCTGTGCTCTCAGCTACTCAGGAGACTGAGGTGGGAGGATAGCTGGAGCCCAGGTGGTCGAGGCTGCAGTGAGTTGTGATCATGCCACTGCACTCCAGCATGGGTGACAGAGTGAGACCCTGTCTTAGACAAAAACAAATCAAACCAAATATAATGTTTATGCACTACACACTTGATTTCTTTCCAAAGGGTTATATAACACTAATTTCACCAGCAATATATGCGACTACTCATTTCCTACATACTCACTATCATTTGTGTGCAGTCAAGGAAACTTAGTAGGCCTGAATTGCCCAAACCTGGCATACTCCAAAGAATGGTGTGACTCTAGCCTGGCTCCTGGGAAATAACCTCTAAGTCCTTGGAATATCCTGCCTATCTGAAGTTAACAATGTGATTTATTGTGGGGACCTTGGACCATGCAGTGTCAGCTTGACCTTGGGAAGGGTGGAGACAGGAAACTAAGGTCATCCAAATGGGTGCTCTTGTCCATGAGACCAACCTCCAGTAAAACCCTCAACCCCAAGGCTCAGGTAAGCTTCTTGTTGGGGAGTATTTTCTGTACTTTCTGCCACATATCTTTGGGTGAATTAAGCACTGTTCACATGATACCACTGGCAGAGGACAACTGGAAGCTTGTGCTTGGTTTCTCCTGGACTCTGCCATATGCACCTTTTTCTGCTGCTGATTTTAATCTGTATCCTTTTGTTGTAATAAACTATAACTATGAGTATAACAGCTTGACTCAGTTTTGTGAGTCCTTCTAATCAATCACTGAACTTTTGGGACCCCAAAACACAATGTTGTTTCTTAATTGAATTTTCCATGTTATGTAAGAAACCTATGTGCATAATTGAAAATCCCACACTAAGAAAGAGCTCTCCATGCAGTCTACTCCCCACCCTGTTTCTCCAATAGTCCCAAGTCTACTTTCTGAATAATCAAATATTTAAATTTTCTAAACTATTTATAATCCATATATCTGAGTGCTTATCTCTGTTATATAATAGGTAGATCCTCCTCCTTCTGTTTTGTTTGCTTGTTTGTTTGTTTTTCTGAGACAGAGTCTTGCTACGTCACTCAGGCTGGAGTGCAGTGGCACAATCTTGGCTCACTGCAAGCTCCACCTCCCGGGTTCACTCCATTCTGCTGCCTCAGCCTCCCCAGCAGCTGGGACTACGGGCACCCACCGCCAGGCCTGGCTAATTTTTTTTTTTTTTTTTAGTAGAGACGGGGTTTCACCGTGTTAGCCAGGATGGTCTTGATCTCCTGACCTCGTGATCCACCTGCCTTGGCCTCCCAAAGTGCTGGGATTACAGGCATGAGCCACCGTGCCCGGCCCCTCCTTCTTAATGTATCAACTTGATATATTACCTGATGGCTTCGTGTTCTGATAGCTGATGACTTGGCTGACACTCACCCCTTACCACAGTGCCTGAACCACTTTCCTTATATGGTGCTCTCACTATTTTCTTTTTCTTTTCTTTTCTTCTCTTTTTTTTTTTTTTTTTTTTTTTTTGAGACAGAGTCTTGCTCTGTCGCCCAGGCTAGAGTGCAGTGGTGCAATCTCAGCTCACTGCAACCTCCACCTCCCAGGTTCAAGTGATTCTGCTGCCTCAGCCTCATGAGTAGCTGGGATTACAGGCATGAGCCACCATGCCCAGCTAATTTTTGTATTTTTAGTAGCAGCAGGGTTTTGCCATCTTGGCCAGGCTGGTCTCAAACTCCTGATCTTGTTATCCTACAACCTTGGCCTCCAAAAGTGTTGGGATTACAGGTGTGAGCCACCGACCCAGCCACTCTCACTATTTTCAATGGCTGTGTTGGTTACTATTCACAACATTCAACAATTAGACTTATACCTCATTTATTTATTTATTTTTAATTTTTTCTGTTTTTAGGTTTAAGAGATACATGTGCAGGCTTGTTACACGGGTAAATTGCATGTCACTGGGGTTTGGTGTACAAATGATATTGTCACCCAGGTAGTAACCAGAGTACCCAATAGTTTTTTGACCCATAGCCTCATGCCATCCTCCCCACTCAAGCAGACCCTGGTGTCTATTGATCCCATCTGTGTGTCCATGTGTACTCAATGTTTAGCTCCCATTTATAAGTGAGACCATGGGTATTTGGTTACCTGATGCTGCATTAATTTGTTTAGGATAATGGACTCCAGCTGCATCCATGTTGCTTCAAGGGACATGGTTTCTTTCTCTACGGCTATGTAGTATTCCATGGTGTATAATTACCACATTTTCCTTATCCAATCCACTGCTGATGGGCATCATATATGCCACTTCAAACTATACTACTAGGCTACAGTAACCAAAATAGCATAGTAGTGGTACAAATACAGCACATAGACCAATGGAATAGGTTAGAAAACCCAGAAATAAATTCACACACCTATAACCATGTGATCTTTGACATAGTCAACAAAAGTGAGCAATGAAGAAAGGACTCCCTATTCAACAAATGATTCTGGGATAACTGGCTACCCACATGCAGAAGACTGAGTCTGGGCCCCCTACCTTTCACCATATACAAAAATTAACTCCAAATGGATTAAAGATTTAAATATAAGACCTCAAACTATAAAAATCCTGGAAGACAAACTAGGAAACTCTTCTCAACATCGGCCTTGGCAAATAATTTTTGGCTAAGATTCCAAAAAAGCAATTGCAGCAAAAACAAAAGTAGACAAGTGGTACCTAATTAAGCCAGAAGCTGGGAGGCCAGGTTGGGCAGATCACAAGGTCAGGAGTTTGAGACCAGCCTGACCAACATGGTGAAACCCTGTCTCTAATAAAAATACAAAAATTAGGTGGTGGTGGCACACACCTGTAATCCCAGCTATTCAGGAGGCTGAGGCAGGAGAATTGCTTGAACCTAGGAGTCAGAGGTTGCAGTGAGCTGAGATCGCACCACTGCACTCCAGCCTGGGTGACAGAGCAAGACTGCCTCAAAAAAAAAAAAAATTAAAGTAAAATAAAAGCATAAACACAACAAGACAAACTATCAACAGAGTAAACAAACTACAGAATGGGAGAAGATACTCACAAACGATGTATCCAACAAAGGCCTAATAATATCCAGAATCTATAGACAACATAAACAAATGGATCCCTTACTCTGTAGTAAGTTCTGTATGCATAAGCCTCTCTTTGTTCTTATTTTGGTGGCCTCTGTTTATTTACACAAAGAGAAATAACTGCTATTCCCATAAATCATGGCTTTCAAAATGGTCACAGTTCACTGGGCATGCTTGCTCATGCCTGTAAATCTACCACTTTGAGAGACCGAGGCGGGCAGATCACGAGGTCAGGAGATCGAGGCCATCCTGGCCAACCCAGTGAAACCCCATCTCTACCAAAAATACAAAAAAAAAAAAAGCCATGATTGGTGGCATGCGCCTATAATCCCAGCTACTCAGGAGGCTGAGGCAGGAGAATCACCTGAATCCAGGAGGCAGAGGTTGCAGTGAGCTGAGATCATGCCACTGCACTCCAGCCTGGATGACAGAGTAAGACCGTCTCAAAAAACCCAAACTGGTTAGGCTCGGTGGCTCACGCCTGTAATCCCAGCACTTTTGGAGGCTGAGGCAGGTGGATCACAAGGTCAAGAATTCAACACCAGCCTGGCCAAGATGGCTAATCCCCAACTCTACTAAAAAATACAAAAATTATCCAGGCACTGTGGCAGGCACCTGTGATCCTAGCTACTTGGGAGGCTGAGGCAGGAGAATTGCTTCAACCCAGGAGGCAGAGGTTGCAGTGAGCTGAGATCTCACCACTGCACTCCAGCCTGGGCAATAGAGTGAGAATCTGTCTCAAAAAAAAAAAAAAAAAAAAAAACATGGGGAAACTCCATCTCTACTAAAAATACAAAATTAGCCAGGCATGGTGGCACATGCCTGTAATCCCAGCTACTTGGGAGGCTGAGGCAAGAGAATCACTTGAACCTGGGAGGCAGAGGTTTTGGGGAGGTGGAGGTTGAGGTGAGCCAAGATCGTGGCATTGCACTGCAGCCTGGGCAACAACAGTAAAACTCTCTTTAAAAAACAAACAAACAAACAAAACAAAACAAAGAAAAATACACACAACTTATTTCCTTGTTTGTGATAATCTGTGAAATATATTTTGAAATGAATTGGAATTCAATACAGTATTATTCACACCCCAAATACTCCTAATATTTCCTTTCCCAGATGATGACCTGGTACTCTTCCTAGGGCTTGACTTCTCCCTACAGGTCCCCAGTACAAGTATTTGTGATTCTGAGTCAATTCATTGTCTACATGTGTGACAATGCAATGCTCTTGTTGTAGAGTACCAAGATGAGGCAGGTCCAAACTGCACATTTGTAGAGAACATAGTATATGTGCAATTGAACATGTATGTGGTTGTGATACTGAAAACAATACGAACTTATGCCAGGTGCAATGGCTGATGCCTGTAATCTTAGCAATTTGGGAGGCTGAGGCATGGAGATCACCTGAGGTCAGGAGTTTGAGAGCAGCCTGGCCAACCTGCTGAAACCCTGTCTCTACTAAAAGTACAAAAAATTAGCTGGGCGTGGTGGCAGGCACCTGTAATTCCACCTACTCAGGAGGCTGAGGCGGGAGAATCGCTTGAACCCAGGAGATGGAGGTTGCAGTGAGCCAAGATCACACCACTGCATTCCAGCCTGGGTGACAAGAGTGAAACTGGGTCAAGAAAAAAAAAAATTGGCCTTGGGCGTTTCTTTAGGTTGGCTCCTGTGTTCTATTTATAGCATGCCTTTATCAGGGGGTTGGGGTGTGGGACTAATTACCAACTTTCTGGCACATAAAGCGTTTTGATTCATCTGGTATTTTCCCTGACCCAGACGTGGAATAAACCATTTATTTAAAGATCCTTGGCTTCTTTCATTGAAAAGTATTATTTACAAAGCACCAAAATCTTGGGCTGGGTGAGGTGGCTCAGGTCTGTAATCTCAACACTTTGGGAGGCTGAAGCAGGAGGATCCCTTGAGGCCAAGAGTTTGAGACAAGCTTGGGCAATGCAGTGAGACCCCCATCTCTATTTTTAAAAACCAAACAAAAACAAAATCGCCAAGATCGGGGTGACACGTGTGCTCATTGCTATGGGTGTGTCATTGCTTCTAGGCCCTCTTAGTGGGCAGAACTAGGAAATATATTGTATGTATACTAACACACATGCCACATGCCTAATTTGTATATTTATTTAGCCTTACTGGAAGCATTCTTTTTTTTTTGAGACAGGGTCTCACTCTGTCACCTAGGCTGGAGAGCAGTGGCATAATCTCAGCTCAATGCAACCTCCACCTCCCAGGTTCAAGTGATTCTCCTGCCTCAACCTCCTGAGTAGTTGGGACTACAGGTGGGTGCCACCATGCCTGGTTAATTTTTGTATTTTTAGTAGAGACGGGGTTTCACCATGTTGGCCAGGCTTGTCTGGAACTCCTGACCTCAGTGGATCTGCCCCCCTTGGCCTCCCAAAGTGCTGGAATTACAGGCATGAGCCTCTGTGCCTGGCCAAGCATTTTTAATGGGAGTGATATTGCCCCTAAGAGGGTGAACATTGGTTATTGAAGGTAAAATGAATTATAGTTGTTGCAATGGTTTGTGGCCTTCCACAATTTTTTTTTTTTCGGAGAGGGAGCCTCACTCTGTCACCCAAGCTGGAGTGCAGTGGTGCAATCTCTGCTCACTGCAACCTCTGCCTCCTGGGTTCAAGTGATTCTCCTGCCTCAGTCTCCCAAGTAGCTGGGATTACTGGCACACACTACCACGTTCAGCTAATTTTTGTATTTTTTGTAGAGACGGAGTTTCACCATGTTGGCCAGGCTGGTCTAGAACTACTGATCTCAAGTGATCTGCCTGCCTCGGCCTCCCAAAGTGCTGGAATTACAAGTATAAGCCACCATGCCTGGCCTATTGCACAAAATTTTACACCTTGGTATTTAATTTCTCTCAAATATGATGGGCAGCATTAATCATTTTATGGAAGATAAAAAATCCAAGCAAGATCAGGCCATGCACGGTGGCTCACACCTGTAATCTCAGCACTTTGAGAGGCCAAGGAAGGTGGATCACTGAAATTCAGGAGTTCAAACCAGCCTGGCCAACATAGTAAAACCCTGTGTCAACTAAAAATACAAAACAATTACCCAGAAGTGGTGGCACCTGCCTGTAATCCCAGCTACATGGGAGGCTGAAGCAGGAAAATCGCTTCAACCCAGGAGGCAGAGGTTGCAGTGAGTGGATCGTGCCACCACCCTTCATCCTGCGTGACAGAGCGAGCCTCCTCCACCTCAAAAAAAAAAAATCTTTGCAAGATCAGTGCTACAAAATGATGGCAAATTGATGGCTATACCTGGAAGACTTTTTCTTGATTGAATGCTCTATCCCAAAGTTATATGAGAGGTGGTCTGTGTGTGTCTATTGGCTGCCTTGTGGATAGTATTTATGATTGATCCTCAGTGCTTTGGGAATTATGTAAAATAGTTTATATTATGAAAGTAATTCAACCTAGCATTAATTGTGTTAAGTGTTGAAAATGAAAAGTGTTGACTACATCGGAATGAATGAATATCTGGCCAACTGGTTTTGTTTTTTTGTTTGTTTGTTTTTGTTTTTAGAGATGGAGACTCACTCTGTTGCCCAGGCTGGAATGCAGACATGATCTTGGCTCACTGCAACCTCCACCTCCTGGGTTCTAGCAAGTCTCCTGTCTCAGCCTCCCGTGTAGCAGGGACTACAGGTACTTGCCCCCACACCCAGGTAATTTTTTGTATTTTAGTAAAGACGGGGTTTCACCCTGTTGCCCAGGCTGGTCTTGAAATCCTGAGTTCAGGCAATCCACCCACCTCAGCTTCCCAAAGTGCTAGGATTACAGGTGTGAGCCACCGTGCCCAGCCTAGCTTACAGTTTTATTGAAAACCCCATTTAACTCAAAACAGCTTTTTTCTTATAAATAATTGTTTTTGTTTGTTTTTTGTTTGTTTTTACAAACGGCTATGAAATCAAGATTTGTGGATCATCAATAAAAGAAACATCCTGATCAAGTCGAGAAACAGAATATTTAAAAAGTTTAAAATAGAATTTTGAACTGTAACACTGTTACTTCTTATTTAAGAAGGACAAGCCGTGGGGTGAGGTGGCTCACACCTGTAATCCCAACACTTTGGGAGGCCGAGGTGGGTGTATCACGTGAGCCCAGGAGTTGGAGACCAGTCTGGGTAATATGGTGAAATCTTGTCTCCACTAAAAACACAAAAACTAGCCTGGCATGGTGTGTGCACCTGTAATTCCAGGTACTCGGGAGGCTGAGGCAGGAGACTCGCTTCAACCTGAGAGGCGGAGGATGCAGTGAGCCGAGATTGCAGCACCATGTTCCAGCCTGGACTATAGAGCAACACTCGGTTTCAAAAAAAAAAAAAAAAAAAAAAAAAGGATAAGCAAACAAATTATGATGAAATAATTGCTTTATAAAATTGCAGAAATAGGCCAGGCGTGGTGACTCACGCCTGTAATCCCAGCAATTTGGGAGGCCGAGGCAGGCGCATCACCTGAGGTCGGGAGTTTGAGACCGGTCTGGCCAACATGGTGAAACCCCGTCTCTACTAAAAATACAAAGTTAGCCGGGCGTGGTGGCACACGCCTGTAATCCCAGCTACTCGGGAGGCTGAGGCAGGAGAATCACTTGAGTCCCGGAGACGGAGCTTGCAGTGAGCTGAGATCATGCCACTGCACTCCAGCCTGGCTAACACAGCGAGACTCTGTCTCAAAAAAAAAAAAAAAAGAAAAAGAAAAAAAGAAAAGATTACAGAAATCATTGTAAAACTCCATAGTGCTTTATACTTGCTGAAACTGTCACAGGACTCACATGAGAGACGGTAACTTCAACAGTGATGTAACACATTGCCACTATTTCACAATCACTCCTATTGAGCAATAATTCAATTCAAAGATGCATTAATGAGATGTCAGGTAATACCAAAGAGTAGCTGATTAATCAAGTAAGTTTCCTATTCAGATCAATGAAATCAGTTACTGAGAGTAAGGCCTGACAATAGGACATGTTTGTTATTTAAATAATGACTGCAAACTAAAAGAAGAGATATTGTTTGTAAAATCTTTAGACGCTGACTGTACGAGAGCATCTATTCTTGCTGCTATAAAAACTTGGTTTGGGGCTGGGTGCAGTGGCTCACGCCTGTAATCTCAGCACTGTCATTTTCTCATATGAATCGGAAAATGCTGACGTCTGCATCCTAAATCTAAACTAATTTCCCACTCACTTGCTAAGCTTCAGTCACACCAGGCTGCTTTCTGTTTCCGGAATGCTCCAAGCGCTCTCTGATTTTTCAGGGTCTTCAGTGTAACTGTGCCTCTGCTTGGAATACCCTTCCACACTGCTGGCTCCTCACCACCAAAGCTCGAGGGTTATCTCAGACACCCGTCCTATCAATGCTATGGGAAGTATCCCTCAAGTTACTGCTTATACCACCTACTGATATATTTCATTGTATTTATCACAATATAAAATTACTTCATCTTCCCCTTTTAATTTAAAATCTTTTTTTTTCTCCAGACTAGAATGTAAACCTCATGTGGGCAGCAGAAATGTCTGCTTACTTTTTTTTTGAGACTGAGTCTCGCTCTGCCACCCAGCCTGGAGTGCAACGGCGCGATCCTGACTCACTGCAACCTCCACCTCCCGGGTTCAAGCGATTCTGCTGCCCCAGCCTTCCAAGAAGCTGAGATTACAGGTGCCCACCAGGCCCGGCTAATTTTTGTAGTTTTAGTAGGGGAGCAGTCGGGCTCTGGACTACATTTCCCGGAGGATTCTGCAGGCCAATACCACATCTCGCGAGATTTCGGCTTCCTCTTAGCCAAGTGGTAGGATCTTTCGCTGTGCGCAATTAGCTGCTGCAGTGCCTTGGAGCCCGGAGTAACTTGGCCAGGCTGGCCCCGAGAGGAACTAGAAAAAGCTGAGGATGAGGAATCCAGCTCCGGTCCTTTTGTGTGTGGAGGGCTGAGGAGAGGAGTTTGCATGTGTGATTGCGATGGTTGCCGTGGGTCTTCGTGGTCTGTGACTGTGGCTGTGTGGTGTTGACTCTGGGTGATCAGGTGGGCGCTTATGACTGTGCGTGCTCGGAGTGGATGTGTGTGTCCTGGACGAGCCGCGTTGTGTGTGCGGATGTGGACAACCAGTTACTGTGTAGTTGGGGCTGCGTGACCCAGGGTGGGTGTGTGACTTTGCGTGTGTGTGCAGTACTGTGTGTGCGTGAGTTGCAGGTCTGTGGCTGTGCAGGTGCAACTTGTGTGGCCCCGTGGTCTGTGTGAGAGAGGAGAGTGTGATTGGCTGTGAGGCAGAGGGTAAGTGGATATAGGGAGGCATGTGTGCGATTGGAACTTTGTGTGTCCCCTTGAGAGAAAAATCCCTTTAGGGAGTTAGAGCGGGTCCTTGGTAAAACTCCTTTCAACAGAGAAACAGCCTAAAAAATCAGGCTGCAGGCACAGAGAAGGAAAACTAGCAAAGGGGGTTGTCCTAAAGACATTCCTCAGCTGCATTGATAAGGGACCGAGGCCCAACATAGAAATGCCTTTGTCCTTTGTGTGATCAGCGGGCTTCCAGGAAATAGTCGCTTTTTTGTGGGCATGTATACGGTGGGCTCTGTTAGATTTTGAAGGGAAGGTGAAGGTTAAAGAAAGAGAGAGACTTGGCGGCTCTATGGAGGGGACCAACTAAATGCCAGAGCCCACTGCCGCTTATAGGCTGGAGTAATTATAGGCCTGGGCAGGAGGGATCTGGGCAGTATAGCTTGTTGCCTGGGAGAATGTTGATAAGGATGTTTCTTGGGCCTTTCCCCAGCAGGATGTGATAAGGAAGTCAGGCGGTTGGGGAGGAAGTTTCCCTCAGCCCAAACCCCAGTGGAATGTTTCCCTCTGACCAGAGTCTGTGAAATGGTGGGGGCTTACAAATCGGTGCGGCTTGAACTAACAGGCTCTGGTGGCCAATTTCCTTTTCTGGACATGCTTTGGACTGTGAGCCAAGCCTCCATGAATCATCATTTCAGCCCCTGTTTGGTCCTGGGCCAAACTTTCACTTCAGCCCCTGATTGGTCTTGGGCCAAAATTTCACTTCAGCCTCTGGTTGGTCCCAAGCTAAGGTCCTGGGCCAAGTGAAGTTGTGCTTTCTCCAAGACAGCTCACAGACTAGTGAGCATTCTTCCCCTTCCCAGTTCACAAAACCCCCAGATTCAGCCTCCTAGTTGGCAACCCTCTCTCGGGTCCCCTCTCCGCTGGGGAGAGCTTTCTTCTTTTGCTTATTAAACTTGTGTTCCAACCTCATCCTTTGTGTCCACGTTCCTTAATATTCTTGGCTGTGAGAGAAAGAAGGCAAAGACAAGAGCCTTTATCCTAACAACTCAATTGCTGGAGAGAAGATTCATGCATATTCTATGTGGCATCACATGCCATAGCCCTGGGATTGAAAGCCATGCAGTTTAAGGGATGGTGTTATCTCAGTCCAAATAGGTAATAAGATCTTTCCCTTTGCTATATTTTAGGGGTAGGAATGAGATTGGGGGTTTGATCAATAGTTTGTACCCATAGGACCAGTGATTTGCCCAGTCATCTGTGAGTAAATGCTTGGGCCAGTTTCCATGTCTGTATTGAATTAAAAACTCATACGGTTCTGTGATTTTTGTCAAATACAGATTTGGTCTTTGTCCCTATTTCCTGGTATACAACTCCTAAAATCCTTGGAATGTCCTAAGGGCTTGCTTTTTTTTTTTTTTTTGAAATGGAGTCTTGCTCTGTAACCCAGGCTGCAGTGCAGTGGCACAATCTCCACTCACTGCAACCTCTGCCTCCCGGGTTCAAGCAATTCTTCTGCCTCAGCCTCCCAAGTAGACTACAGGCATGTGCCACCATGGTCGGCTAATTTTTGTCTTTGTGTTCTTTTTTAGTAGAGACGGGGTTTCATCATATTGGCCAGTCTGGTCTCGAACTCCTGACCTCAAGGGATCTGCCTGCCTCAGGCTCCCAAAGTGTTGGGATTACAGGCATGAGCCACTGCACCCAGGCTTTGGCTTTTTATATGTTAGGGATTAACTGATAGCTTCAGGATGTGGGCTGGTCATCAGAAAGACCAAGGCAGAATTAGAGGGCTGGGACTTTCAGCCCCTACTCTCCCACCCCTGGGGAGTGGAGGGGACTGAGGATTAAGTTGATGGCAAGTGGCTAATGGTTTAATCAATCATGCCTATGTAATGAGGCCACCTTACAAACCCAAAAGGAGTGGATTCGGAGAGCTTCCAGAGAGCTGAACACATGGAGGTTCCTGGAGGGTCGTGCCCAGGGAGGGGATGGAAGCTCTGTGCCCCTTCCCCCATACCTCACGCTAGGCATCTCTTCATCTATATCCTTTGGAATATCCTTGTAATCAAACAGTAAATGTGTTTCCCTGAGGTTTGTGAGCCATTTTAGTCTAGCAAATTAATCAAACCCAAAGAGGGGGTTGTAGGAACCCCAAATTAAATCTGTCAGTCAGAAGTTCCAGAGGCTGGGACTTGTGGCTGGTGTCTGAAAGGGGGGCAGTTTTGGGGGCTGAGCCCTCAATCTGTGGGGTGACACTATCTCATGGTAGATAGTGTCAGAATCGAATTGGTGGATACCCAGCTGGTGTCTGCTGCAGAACTGATTCCTTGCTTGCTGATAGGGAGAAATCTCCTCATATTTTGAGGCCACAGAAGTCTTCTGGGTAGATTGTTGTGGTTTTGGTGTGAAGCAGAGGGAGAACACAGGTTGAGTTTTTTCCAAATGGATTCACATTGGGGGTCCTCAACCTCAAATCCATCAACTCCATCGCTGAATTTTTATTTATGTATTTATTTTTATTTTTGAGGTAGAGTCTCACTCTCTCTCCCAGGCTGGAGTGCAGTGGTACCATCTCAGCTCATTGCAGCCTTCATCTCCGATGCTCAAGTGATCCTTCTACCTCAGCCTGCCAAATAAGCTGAAACCAGAGGCACACACTAGCACTGTGGCGTAATTAAAAATAATTTTCAGTAGATAAGAAGACTCACTATGTTGTCTGGGCTGAACTTGAACTCCTGAGTTCAAATGATCCTCCCACCTCTGCCTCCAAAATTCTATGATTACAGGCATGAGCTGTCTCACCTATCACTGATTTTCTTTTTCTTTCTTTCTTTTTCTTTCTTTCTTTCTTTCTTTTTTTTTTTTTTTTGACAGAGTCTCACTCTGCCTTGCCCAGGCTGAACTGCAGTGGTGCAATCTCGGCTCACTGCAGCCTCCGCCTCCTGGGTTCAAGTGATTCTCCTGTCTCAGCCTCCTGAATAGTTGGGATTAGAGGTGCCCACCACCACACCTGACCAATTTTTGTATTTTTAGTAGAGACAGGGTTTCACCATATTGGCCATGCTGGTCACCAACTCCTGATCTCAGGTGATCCACCTGCCTTGGCCTCCAAAAGTGCAGTGGCAGGATCAGGGCATACTGCAGCCTTGACCTCCGGGGCTGAAGGGATCCTCCCTCCTCAGCCTCCCAAGTAGCTGGATTATAGGCATATGGCACCATGCCAGGCTAATTGTAATTTTTGCACAGATGGGGTTTTGCCATGTTGCCCAGTCTGGTCTTGAACTCCTGAGCTCCAACAATCTTCCCACCTGAGCCTCCCAAAGTGCCCAGATTACAGGGAAGAGCCACTGCACCCAGCCTATCACTGCATTTTTAAAGGGAAGGAGGACTATAGTGAGATTCACTAAGGCTTACAGAAAAGGTAGAACCCTAGATAGATTTAAAGACAGAGATTATAATATCCTTGAGATAATATCCAAATTTAGCTTTCATAGATAGGGAAATTTGAAGTACATCAGACTATAAGGTGGCATTTTGTGCAACTAATTAAAACTATGTTTGAAAGAGAGCAATTGCATTTTCATTACTGAGTAATATTAAGCAACAATGAAAATAAATAGAAATAACCAAGAAATTGTTATATTTAAATCCTCCCTCCTTTTTTGGAAAGAGAAGTATTGATATTTTTAGATTCTAATCAAAACTTCTCTTTTTAAAAAAATTGATGATTCTATGGAGATAGGGAGGGAATAACCTGTGTTTATTGAACACCTAATATTCCACTTACCCAAATGTCATTTATTCTATATTCTAGTTTTTTTGTTGAGACAGGGTCTTTCTTGCTCTGTTACCCATCCTAGAGTGCAGTGGGGTTGTCACAGCTCACAGATGTATACCACCATGCCTGGCTTTTTATTTTATTTTATTTTATTTTATTTTATTTTATTTTATTTTATTTTATTTTATTTTATTTTATTTTATTTTATTTTATTTTATTTTTGCAGAGACGATGTCTCCCTATATTTCCCAGGCTTGACTTGAACTTCTGGGTTCAAGCGATCCTCCTGCCTTGGCATCCCAAAGTGCTGGGATTATAGGCATAAGCCACTGTGCTCAGGCAATATTAAAGTCTTGATAATAGAAGTGTCTCAGTGTACTGGAATGGTTTGTCTAAATTTTGAAAAAATATTAAAAAACATGTTGGTTTTATTTGGCCAATACTGATTTCTTTGCTCCATCATTATTTATTGGCATTATTAGCCTGTTGACTTTCAATTTCTTTACATCCCTTTCACTCCTTTTATTTTGTCCCCCAAATAGAAATTCTTTTTTTTTTTTTAGATGGATTCTCGCTCTTGGCTCTTGTGACCCAGGCTGGAGTGCAGTGGTGCAGTCTCATCACTGTAATCTTCACCTTCCAGGTTCAGGCAATTCTCCTGCCTCAGCCTCCAGAGTAGCCTAGATTACAGGCATGCGCCACTACACCCCGCTAATTTTTTGTATTCTTTCTTTTTTTTTTTTTTTCTTTGAGATGCAGTTTCGCTCTTGTTGCCCAGGCTGGAGTGCAATGGCATGAACTCTGCTCATTGCAACTTCTGCCTCCCAGGTTCAAGCGATTCTCCTGCTTCAGCCTCCCAAGTAGCTGGGATTAGAGAGTGAGTCACCACACCCGACTAATTTTTGTATTTTTAGTAGAGACAGGGTTTTGCCATGTTGGACAGGCTGGTCTGGAACACCTGATCTCAAGTCATCTGCCTGTCTTGGCCTCCCAAAGTGCTGGGATTACAGGCATGAGCCACTGGGCCCGGCTTTTTTGTATTTTTATATTTATTTATATTTTGATAGAGAGTCTCGCTCTGTTGCCCAGGCTGGAGTGCAGTGGCACAGTCTTGGCTCACTGCAACCTCTGCCTCCCAGGCTGAAGCGATTCGATTCTCCTGCCTCTGCCTCCTGAGTAGCTGGTATTACAGGCACCTGCCACCACGCCCGGCTACCTTTTGTATTTTAATTAGAGACAGGGTTTCACCATGTTGGCCAGGCTGGTCTTGAACTCCTGACCTCAGGTGATCTGCCCACCTTGGCCTCCCAAAGTGGCTTTGCTTGAGGCCAGGAGTTTGAGACCAGCCTGGCCAACATGGTGAAACCTGCTCTCTACCAAAAAAACCAAAAAAAATTAGCCGGGTATGGTGGTGTGTGCCTGTATTCCAAGCTACTTTGATGGCTGAGTCACAAAAATCACTTGAACCCAGGAGGCAGAGGTTGCAGTGAGCTGTGATCACCTCACTGCACTGTAGCCTGGGTAACAGATTGAGACTTGTCTCAAAAAAAAAAAAAAAATTCTTGGCAGGATGTGGTGGCTCACACCTGTAATCCCAGCACTTTGGGAGGCCAAGGTGGGTTGATCCCCTGAGGTCAGGAGTTTGAGACCAGCCTGACTAACATGGAGAAACTCCGCCTCTCCTAAAAATACAAAATTAGCTGGGCATGGTGGTGTGTGCCTTTAATCCCAGCTACTCGGGAGTATGAGGCAGGAGAATCGCATGAACCCAGGAGGCAGAGGTTGCAGTGAGCTGAGATCACACCACTGCACTCCAGCCTGGGCAACAAGAGCGAAACTCCATCTCAAAAAAAGAAGAAACATCTTTACTTTGGATAAATACTTAGAAATGGAATTTCCAGGTCGGCCTTTAGATATTATTAATGGATTTAATATGAAAAACCTTTACTTGAGGATGTATAAAGCTTTAAAAGACAGAGTCCCTACTCTTAAGTTATAAATAAAGCAGCATTTGTAAGGTAATATTCAGAAACATCAGATAATATTGTATAAAGTCCTCCTGTTCATGCTGATGACATTAGATGGCCAGTTAAGGATGACACTTCATTCTGTCCCCTGCAACCACGGTCCTGACATGTCTAAATGATACTGGCCCTATGAGAACACTGTGGATGTGAAAGCATTTCCTAAAGTTATCGTTTTGGCCTGCTGGTTTTAATCTAAGAATGGGATATCCAAAGTGAATCTAACAGAGTGACATGATTGTGCATCTGTTGTGGGGAATCAGAGACAGCTAGAGCAAGGGCAGACACGTGCTAAACTCATCTGTCTTAAGAGCTAAAGCAAGCAGCAGAGCTACTGCACATCTGTACACGTGGCTCCAATGGCTCTGACCTGTTTTTTTCCTAGTATGAACCTAATACACGAGACAAGTTAGAAAATCAGAGTTGGCCAGGCATGGTGGCTCATGCCTGTAATCCTAGTACTTTGGGAGCCAATGTGGGTGGATCACTTGACGCCACGATTTCGAGACCAGCCTCGGCAACACAGTGAAACCCCATCTCTACTAAAAATACAAAAATTAGGTGGGTGTGGTGGCAGGCAGCTGTAATCCCAGCTATGGGAGGCTGAGGTTGCAGTGAGCCAAAATCAGGTCACTGCACTTCAGCCTGGTTGACAGAGCAAGGCTGTCTCAACAAAAAAAAAAAGGGAAAGGAAAGGAAAGAAAATCACAGCTTGTTAGCCACTTGCAGCTAAACACATATGCACAAAAATTACTCAGTAAAAGCAAAACAGTTTTGGTGTATCTTGAGATTTTGTTTTTTATCCAAAGGAAGACTATATCTTTTATCTTTGAACTACTCTTTGGAAAATGCCTTCTATATAACAAATGTTATAGTTTTCTTCTAATTGGGTCTTGAGGTCTCTCAGGAGAATGGCTATAAACTCTACCTCACTCTAATGGGGCTCTAGGGGAGGGGCCTGTGGGTCTTTAGAGTAGTCTTTCACCAGAAATTTCTTTTTTCTGGACCACAGCCTAATGCTCAAGTATCTGACCCATGACCAGGTGTCTCACAGGAAACTTGTTTATACTAGCAGATGCCCTTGTAACTTTTGTCTGACCTGTGTGCAGTTTATTCCTACCATGATACCCACTCTTTTTTTTTTTTTTTTTTTTTTGAGATGCAGTCTCGATCTGTTACCAGGCTGGAATGCAGTGGCACGACCTTGGCTCACTGCAATCTCCACCACCTGGGTTCAAGCAATTCCCCTGCCTCAGCCTCTCAAGCAGCTGGGACTACAGGCGTGCACCACCATGCCCAGCTAATTTTTATATTTTTAGTAGAGTCAGAGTTTCACCATGTAGTCCAGTATGGTTTTGATCCCTTGACCTCATGATCTGCCCTACTCGGCCTCCCAAAGTTCTGGGATTACAGGCATGAGCCACCACACCTGGCCTTTATTTATTTATTTTTTTATTTTTTTTTGAGACAGGATCTTGCTCTGGTGCCTAGGTTGGAGTGCAGTGGCAGGATCACAGCTCTCTGCAGCCTTGACCTCCTAGGCTCAAGCAATCCTCCCACCTCAGCCTCCCAAGTAGCTGGGAATAGAGGCATGTCCCCCTACATTTGGCTAATTTGTATATGACATATATTTTTGTAGAGATAGGGTTTTGCCATGTTGCCCAGGTTGATCTTGAACTCCTGAGCTGAAGCAATTCACCTGCCTTGGCCTCCCACAGTACTTTGATTACAGGTGTGGGTTACCACACCCAGCCAATGTACATTTAATTATCAAAGTACTATCTATACTATTTTATGGAAGTACTAATTATCAAAGTGCAATAGAGGTTTTGTTGTTGTTGTTGTTTTTCTTTTGAGACAGAGTTTCACTCTTATTGCCCAGGCTGGAGTGCAGTGGTGCAATCTCGGCTCACTGCAACCTCCACCTCCCAGGTTCAAGTGATTCTCCTGCCTCAGCCTCCCAAGTAGCTGGGATTACAGACATGTGCCACCACACCCAGCTAATTATATATTTTTAGTAGAGACTAAAATGGTCTCTCCATATTGGTCAGTCTGGTCTCGAACTCCTGACCTCAGGCGATCCATCTGCCTTGGCCTCCCAAAGTGCTGGGTTTACAGGTGTGAGCCACTGTGCCCAGCCAATAGAGGTTTTTAAACTTTTTGTAGATATTTTTGAAAGATACAGTCTTCCTTTAAGAAAAGAGACAAGGCTGGGTGTGGTGGCTCATCCCTGTAATCCCAGCACTTTGGGAGGCCAAAGCAGGTGGATTGCTTGAGCTCAGGAGTTTGAGAGTAGCCTGCCCAAATGGCAAAAACCTCGTTTCTGTTAAAAATACAAAAAAAAATTAGCTGGGCACGGTGGCACATGCCTATAGTCAAAGCTAATACAGAGGCTGAGGTGGGAGGAACACCTGAGCCTGGGAGGTTGAGGCTGCAGTGAGCTGTGATTGTGCCACTGCACTCCAGTCTAGGCAACAGAACGAGAACCTGTCTCAAAGTGAAAACAAAAAAATGAAAGAAGAGAAAAAAAAAACAAGAAAGAAAATGGTAAGGGGGAAGTGCCTATTTATTAAGCTTTTGTTGTAAATAGTAACTTGCATATCAGATGTTTACTCTAATATTCTTGAAGCCTTGCCAGGCCTACAGCTTGCTGTGTGCTTTTCAACTTTATTTCATTTATTTGGGAAATCATATATCAATGTACTTTATTCATTCCCAGCTCTAACCATGGAATACTGGGAATGTCCCTTTCTTTGAAGGAGCTTTGCTGGCCACAACAGGAATATTCATGAACATGGAGGTACTTTGTTGAAGTTACACTAATTTTTTTACTCTTCCCCACTCTCAACCTAGCTGGTCTGCTCACTATATTCTCTCCATCCTTCAGCACCCTTCCATCTCTTTCTTCATCTTAAAAACCTTTCCTTTAACTTCAACAGTGCTGCCTGGGTTTGTCATTTCAGGGATTGGGCATGTTCCAGGATCTGTCTATAGACTTCTCTCAGGAGGAATGGGAGTGCCTGGACGCTGCTCAGAAGGACTGATACAGAGATGTAATGATGGAGAATTATAGCAGCCTGGTCTCACTAGGTAAGGATGTCTGTTCCCAAATAACTCATGAGTTTTGGGTGTAGCTTTCACTTGTCTGGGTGACTTTTCACCTGCTGCTTAGGGAATTGTTTTGTGTTTTGTAGATTAATAGATGGACAGCTCTTTGGGGTCCCTCCATCTTCTCCATGCTTCAGACCTTTACACCTTCCTCTAGTCCTTCGTGAGTACTAAGGGACTAACTTTGAATTCAGGAACAGCACGAGTATGTCTTACTTCTTTTCTTTCTCTTTCTTTCTTTCTTTCTTTCTTTCTTTCTTTCTTTCTTTCTTTCTTTCTTTCTTTCTTCTTTCTTTCTTTCTTTTTTTGAGATGAAGTCTTACTCTATCGCCCAGGCTGGAGTGCAATGGCGTGATCTCGGTTCACTCCAACCTTCCTCTCGGGTTCAAGCAATGCTCATGTCTCAGCCTCCTGAGTAGCTGGGATTACAGGCACCCGCCACCACACCTGGCCAATTTGTGTGTTTTTAGTAGAGACGGGGTTTCACCATGTTAGGCTGGTCTTGAACTCCTGACTTCAAGCAATCCACCTGTTTTGGCCTCCCAAAGTGCTGGGATTACAGGAGTGAGCCACTATGCCTGCCTGTCCATCTTACTTCTTTTCTTATAAACAGGTCTCTCTATCCCAAAGCCTGATGTGATTTCCTTAATGGAGCAAGGGAAAGAGCCCTGGATGGTTTCAAGGGACGTACCGGGAGGATGGTGCCCAGGTGAGTAAGGACTGAGCAGATGGGGAAGGCACTGCTGTTTAGAACCCAGCCCATCAGGGAGGCAGCGCCTTAAAGGTATTGGTTGGGGAATCTCTTCTGCAAGGTCCCATGTAAGAGTTGTGGCCTAAGACACATGGAGAAAAGTCAAGATACCCACCCCCCCCCCCACACACACTCTTTTTTTTAAAAAAAAATTAATTTGAGAGAGAGTCTTGCTCAGTCACCCAGGCTGGAGAACAGTGTTGTGATTTCAGCTCACTGCAACCTCTGTCCCCGGGTTGAAGCGATTCTCCTGCCTCAGCCTCTAAAGGAACTGGCATTATAGGCGCCTGCCACCATACCCAGCTAATTTTTGTATTTTTAGTAGAGACGGCATTTCACCATGTTGGCTAGGCTGGCCTCGAACTCCTGACCTCAGGTGATCCACCTGCCTTGGCCTCCGAAAGTGCTGGTATTACAGGTGTGAGCCACTGTGTCTGGCCAAGAACACCCTTTTACCTCCACCTCTTCAGTCTGTGCTACCCTCTTGTCATAATTTCTTTCCATTTCAAAGAATAACATTCCCTTCTTCAGAAGCCATCCTGTTTCCTCTATCTTGGAGCTACTTCTTTCACTTTAAAATTTAAATCCGTGTTGTTGCTTTAAAAACAAATCTTTTAAAATATATTTATTTTTCATACTGATCCTTGACTTTTTTTTGCCTTGTCTTTTCTTGGCTAGTTTTCCTTTAATGCAGCCATTTCATGCATCAATAGATATTCATTCACTGGTTTTTTTTTTTTTTTTTTTTTTTTTTTTTTTTTTTTGGATACAGAGTCTCACTCTGTAGCCCGGGCTGGAGTGCAGTGGCGTGATCTCGTCTCACTGCAAGCCAATAAGAAGAGCTTGGGGATAACCTCCCTACAAGCACAGCAAAACATTTCCTGCGCATTTCTGCGCTGGAACGCCTACCCGCCTCGCCAAACCAAAACTTTACTATCACCCTTAGTGCCGTTTCCTGCGCTTTCTTGGAGAGTTGTACCAGGCACTGGAGACCCTCCCACCTGGTCCATGCCCGCCTCCCGGTGAGCACCGAGACCCAACCTTGTGCACCGCCAGTCTTGTTATCAACAAACAGGCTAGTAAATTATAAAAAAATAAAATAAAGGAAATGTAGCTGGTCTTGGTGTCATGCACCTGTAATCCCAGCTACTCTGGAGGCTGATGCAGGAGAATCGCTTGAACCCAGGAGGTGAAGGTTGCAGTGAGCCGAGATCGCACCACTGCACTCCAGCCTGGATGGCAAGAGCAAAACTCCTTCTCGAAATAATAAATAAAATAAAGGAAATGGGGCCGGGCATGGTGGCTCACGCCTGTAATTCCAGCAATTTTGGTGGCTGAGGCGGGCAGATCACTTGAGGTCAGAGGTTCGAGACCAGTCTGGCCAACATGGTGAAACCCTGTCTCTACTAAAAATAAACAATTAACCAGGCATGGTGGCTGGCGCCTGTAATCCCAGCTATTTGTGAGGCGGAGGCACAAGAATCGCTTGAATCCCGAAGGCAGAGGTTGCAGTGAGCCGAGCTCGCGCCACTGCCCTCCAGCCTGGGCGACAGAGCGAGACTCCATCTTAAAATAAAATAGGCCAGCTGAGGGTGCTCATGCCTGTAATCACAGCACTTTGGAAGCTGAGGCGGGTGGATTGCCTGAGCTCAGGATTTCAAGGACATCCTGGCCTACATGGTGAAACCCTATCTCTACTAAAAATGCAAAAATTAGCCGGGCATGGTGGCGCATGCCTGTAATCCTAGCTACTTGGGAGGCTGAGGCATGAGAACCGTTTCAACACAGGAGGCGGAAGTTGCAGTGAGCCACGACCGCCACATTGCACTCCAGCTTGGGCAAGAGGATTGAAACTCTGTCTCAAAAAAAAAAAAAAATAAATGAATAATTAAATAAATAAATAAATAAATAAATAAATAAATAAATAAATAAATATAAAAGAAATAGACAAAGCAAACCTTAATGTGTGAACTCAAACAAATGCTTTCACTGCCAGGCTCCATCTTTGCAAAACTGAACCTAGGACAATGTGCACGTTTCTAACTAGCAATTCTGGAGGACAGATCAGGGAGGCAACGTGAGCTTGCTTTTCTGCAGTTTAATTGACTGGTCAGTAAAGTCAGTGTTTGCAGGCATTTTCAATGTTCTGTAGTGGGCTTCAGTTCCTATGGCAGTGTGGCAGGCCAGGTTTCCAATAGCAACCAGAACAGTTTCTACTAACCCTTTACTATAATTTTGATGATTGCATAAGTTAACGTTAAAGAAATGGAGAAACTTGTGCCTGAGTATCAGGGATGGAATGTGAAAACAAACCCATTGAGACCCCACCTGGGCTTTCTCAGACCCTAAAGTCTGATCGAATAATGATAGCATTGGTACACATTCACCTCGGCCTGTCTTAAGATTCAGAAACTTTCCAAGACTCTAGAGAAATCTTTCCAGATGCTAGACCTGAGTTAAAGATTAGATGTTGATTGAATGAAACACTCCTGCTTGTAGGTGCAATCCCACGTGGAGCTTAAGATGTATATAAGCACTAGAAAAAAAAAAAAAAACTTGTAACTTTGAATTGATCTGGTGAATTACTTGGCACTTCTCCCTGTAAGTGGCTGCGGAAATAAACTTCCTTCTTGCCCAGTCTGTCTGTGTCTTGTTATTGAACAATTGCAATGGACCTGCCCAGCAAAGTCCTCTTTTGTGTGGTTATCTGGGACTCCTTTTGGAGGGAACATTTAAAATTTTCCATTTCAAAGCATTCTGTTGGCACTCTTACACTGTTTTTCTCTGCCTACCCTGGGACCTGAGTTCTCCTGGACGTGAATCTCCAGCCACAGAGCCTAGAAGCCCATTCCTCCACATTCTGTGACTGTTCCCCAAACACAGGGAGAATTTTCAGAAAATAAGCCTAAAAATCTTGCCATTCTTTGCAATAAAACCCCACATTACAAACTGCTGAAAACAGGATTTTAGCCTGAATAGGTTTTTCCTCTATTTGAAACCCTTTACAATTTTGGAGGGAAGTTTCCAAATCAATCAGTAAGTACCCCCCACCCCAGGTTTATCCTTATGTAAAGTGACCCCTTTGCACATGCAAGATTGAATAAACCTTGAAAATATTATGCTAAGTGAAAGAAGCCAGTCACAAAGGACCACATGTTATGTAATTCCATTTAAATAAAATGTCCAAAATAGACCAATACATAGAAGCAGAAAGTAGATTTGTGGTGGCCCAGGGTTAGGGGAGTTGGGGGGAAATGGAGGGATATGGTATTTACTTCAGGGTAATGAAAATGATCTAAAATTTATTGTGGTGATGTTTGCATAACAGTGCAAATATACTGAAAACCACTGAATTTTACACTTTAAATCAGTGGCTTCTGTGGTATGTTATCAATATTTCTCAATAAAACTTCAAAAAAAAGTGCCTATGTGTCTTTTTGTTTATTATTCCTCCAGAGTCCAGTCCATAGTTTTTACATTTGATGAAGAAATTAAGATTTTGTTTCTTCTTCTTCTATTTTTTTTTTTTTTTGAGACAGAATCTCCCTCTGTTGCCCAGACTGGAGTGCATTGGCACAATCATGGCTCAGTGCAACCTCCAGGATAATTTTTGTATTTTTAGTAGAGACAGCGTTTCACCATGGTGGCTAGACTGGTCTCAAACTTCTGATCTCAAGTGAGTCCCACACCTTGGTTTCCAAAATTGCTGGGATTACAGGCGTGAGCCACCGCACCCAGCCCAAGATTTAGTTTCCGTTGTTTTGATGCCCTAGGGCCATCTTATTCTACCTTAATTTCTGACACATCATCTCAGTGGAAATTTTACCTTAGGCCCCAAAGTATTTTCCTCTTTTTAAGATTTTATCAGCTGAGTACAGTGGCTCACACCTTAATCTCAACACTTTGGGAGGCCAAGGTTGGAGGATCAGTTAAGCCCAGGAGTTCAAGACCAGTCTCTGCAACATAGTGAGACACACATTATCTACAAAAAAAATTTTAATTAGGTGGGCATATTGGTGCATGCCTGTGGTCTCAGCTTACTACATAGGCTGAGGGAGGATCACTTGAGCCCAGGAGGTTGAGGCTACAGTGGCCATGATTATACCACTGCACTCCAGCCTGGGTGACAGAGCGATAGTCTGTCTTAAAAAAAAAACTGATTGGAATTTTTTTTTTTTAGAAAACAAAGTATAGACTTAGTGAGTTGATACAAATGAATGAATTTGATAATCTACAGAAACAAAAACAAATAAATAAATAAAAACCCAAAGCCATTCTTCTTATGTGAATCTCTGGTGTCTCTGAATTATAAGAATTGTGAATTATGATTAATAACAAATATGCATGACAAGGACTCAATAAGGGATAGGCATTAATAAACTGCAATGCACATTTACTGGAGTAAGGCCTTTAAAGATGTACAAGAGAAAGAAAGAAAAGGCATTGAAAAATTGCATTGCCTACCAAAATGCTAAAGTTTACCTAAGTCCATTAATCAGCACACACAGGCAATGGGTGTGTAAAATGGTCAACACAGTCTCCTATGAATGTATCCTTTTATTAATAGGTCTGTGGGGGTAAGAGATGAGGTTCTATAGATCCTGGAATCAGGGATGGGGAATCTGTGAGTTCCCTGGGGTGAGAGATGACGATCTGTAGATTAGTGATGGGTGGTCTTTGGGATAGTGATGAAGTCCATGGAATCAATGATTGTGGGTATGTAGGGTCAGTGATGAGGGAATCTGGTGTCAGTGATGGGATGTGTGTTTAATCAATCTGTGAAAGCCAGATTTGTGGAGTCATCTCTCAGGCTGACACATCCTGATCTGTGGGTCAGTCGTGGAAATTCTATGGGGTCAGAGTGTGACTGTCAGGTCCCTGACACTGTGTGTTCTGGGTCTGGCCAAGTGCACAGATTCCCTTGCCTTGTCCTGGCTGGGGAGGCCCTTCTCAAGGACTCCTCACATAAAAGGTGGGTTGGCGGTGGGTTTTGTTTTTGTTTTCGTTTTGCGGTGGAGGTGGGGGTGGGTTAGCTTTTTCTTTAGGGTTTAGTTTTGCCTCTTAGAGACCACAGACACATGCAGCTTTTAGGAAGAAATTTCTGTCTGGGTGGTCGCTAGGTCCTTTGGGCCAAGCCATCTAATGGGAGTAAAACTGACCATTCCCTCAGCGAGGTTCAGAACTAGATGGTCATTTTAAGGTGTCCTCAAGGTGGCGTGCAAGTGGGTTGTGGCTTCGAGTGGCAGGTGTGCGGGAAGAAACAACTAAGAAGACCCAGGAGCGCTCCAAGGCTGGATCTGTCACAGCTGGAAGAACAGCCTCCCTAACCCATCAGGCGCCAATGGGAGGTACCTCTGGGCTGTGAGAGGCTGGTGGAGTTGGAACCTCCAGACCTAGAGATTCTGGGCACAGAAGCCTATTACCGCCAGACGCTGAGGCGTTGCCATGGGATCCAAGGGCGTTTCGGGTCAGCTCAGAGCCTTTCTCAGATAATTGTTTCGGTAACTGGGGAGCTGCTGTCCAGCGCACGCACTTATGAAGGCTTAATGTGCCGTCTCCCGCAGAGTCTTCTTTGGTCTGAGAGCCACTTGTTTCTTACATCCTTGTGCTAATCTCACCATCTGCTCCTACATATCCCAGGCATTTGCCACATGCTGGTCCTCTCTTTCCTGACAGGCGGGCCATCTCTCCAGCTTCTGTGAGGACAGTTCAAATTATGGAGGAGGGGGCAGGTGCAGGGCAGCAGTGCTGAGGGGAGTACCATGCAGTTGGGGGAGCAGGGACTCATTTTTCTTTGTAGCTCAGATTCCTAAGCCTGTGACTTTGAGTATCGGTGTCTTCCTTGCAATGTTTCAATCTGAGGTTCTTGGGGAGAGTGCAGAATTGGAGCCCGATGGAAGACCGGTGGGGAGAGGGGTGGGTGGAGGGAACATGGAGAATGTGTCAGGTGGTGTCTATTCCTGGCACCTTACTTTGCCTGCTGGAGTTTCCCAGTCTGTTCCAGATGCATTCTCTCGACCCTGAAGGGACCTGAGGGGGGATGTTGGTCTCCAGTGTGTGCTCCCCTGGACTCAATTGGAATTGGTCCCACAAAGTGTTTTTATTTATTTATTTATTTATTTATTTATTTATTTATTTATTCATTTATTTATTTATTTATTTGGAAGGAGTCTTGCTCTGTCACCCAGGCTGGAGTGCAGTGGGGCAATCTCAGCTCACTGCAACCTCTGATTCCCAGGTTCAAGTGATTCTCCAGTTTCAGCCTCCCTAGTAGCTGGGACTACAGGTTTCCGCCACCACACCTTGCTAAATTTTTTATTTTTGGTAGAGGCAGGGTTTCACAATATTGGTCAGGCTGGTCTCGAGCTCCTGACCAGGTGATCGACCCACCTTGGCCTCTCAAAGTGCTGGGATTACAGGTGGGAGCCATCACACCCCGCCAATCCTACAAATTTAGGCATTATGGTGCATTGCTACTTTTGAATCACTTATTTTTTACTTGTGTTTTCCCCCCTCCTTTTATTGATTGATTGACACAGAGTCTCGCTGTGTCACCCAGGCTGAACCACAGTGTCACAATCTTGGTTCATTGCAACCTCTGCCTCCCGGGTTCAAGCGATTCTCCCGCCTCAACCTTCCAAGTAGCTGGGATTACAGGCGCATGCCATCATGCCTGGCTAATTTTTGTATTTTCAGTAGAGACAGGGTTTCACCATGTTGGCTAAACTGGTCTCGAACTTCTGACCCCAAGTAATCCCCCTGCTTTGGCCTCCCAAAATGCTGACATAGGCATGAGCCTCCTTGCCCGGACTTCCCTCCTTTTCCTTCAGGGATTTTAAATGTTTTCTTTCCTCCATCTATTTAATTATATGTGATTGCCTTGAGGATTTCAGCTTGAATTAAAATTACATATATTTACCTGTCTTTATTAATATTTAAACATATTAAAATAATACATGTTCATAATGAAAATGAAACATTACAAATAAATACACAGGAAAGGCCGTATTCCCCCTCCAGTTCCACTCTTGAAATAACCAGTTAACAAGATGATGAGCATCTTTCCATGATGTTCTCCAAGACTCAAGTAAGTATTGGCCAGCACAAAACAGAATATACAGACCAGGCGTGGTGGCTCATGCCTGTAATCCCAGCACTTTGGGAGACTGAAGCGGGTGGATCTTTTGAGGTTAGGAGTTCGAGACTAACCTGGTCAACATGGTGAAACCCCATCGCTACAAAAAAATACAAAAATTATTTGGGCACGGTGGTGAGGGCCTTAATCCCAGCTACTTGGGAGGAGGAGGAATGAGAATCTCTTGAACCCAGGAGGAGAAGTTTGCAGTGAGCCAATATCACATTACTGCCCTCCAACCTGGATGACAGACTGAGATTCCATCTCAATAAATAAGTAAATACATAAAATAAAGAGAAAAAAAGAAAGATGAAGGAAAGAAAAAGCAAGAAAGAAGAAAGAAAGAAAGAGAAAGAAAGGAAGAAAGAAAGAAAAAGAGAGAAGTCGTGTGCTCAGGTTGCTAAGATGGATGGTAAGAACAAATCCTCTAGCAGTGAAAATGTAAGAAGGGAAAGAAATTTCGCTTAGTCTTGTTTGTTGCACCCCAAGCTCTAAAAAGTACAGTCACATGTGTGATAAATGCTTAGTTAAGATGAAAAAGTCATTAAATTTGTGAGTGGAAATCAAACAGAAATATGTTCTGATTGAAAGCAATTGGGTCAATGCTACCCAAGTTTCAGGCATCCACTGCGGGTCTTAAAACACATCTCCTGCAGATAAGGGAGGGCTATTATATAACGTTTCTTTCTTTTTTCTTTAATTATAAAGCATTCTCCTTTTTAAATATAACAATTGGCCACATATATCACTTTAGGTATAAAGATATTAGGATACCTTTATAGTAGATAAAATGCTAACTCATTCTTTGTAAGAGTTAAAGTATCTTTCATTATATGAGCATTTAAGATATTAAAGTACTTTTGCCACCAAAATAGTGCTTCTGTAAATATTCTTTTACTTATAACTTTGTTAGTTTTTACTTCTGCTGAAACAAATTGCATGAGGAAACAAGTGTATGTGTGTAAAGTGTAATATATGTATATATATTTAATATGGGTATATACAACTTACTATATACACATACATACAATAACATATACAATTTTTGTTTTGTTTTTTGAGATGGAGTTTTGCTCTCTCATCCAGGCTGGAGTGCGGTGACATGATCTCGGCTCACTGCAACTTGCACTGCTTGGTTCTCCTGCCTCAGCCTCCTGAGTAGCACAGGCATCTGCCACCATGTCCAGCTAACTTTGTTTTTTTAGTGGAGATGGGTTTTTACCATGTTGGTCAGGCTGCTCTCGAACTCCTGACCTCAAGTGATCCGCCCACCTTGGCCTCCCAAAATGCTGGAATTACAGGCATGAGCCATCGTGTCTGGCCTAACATATACAATTTAATGTATATACAAATATAGGTTGGGTGCAGTGGCTCTCACTCCTGTCATCCTAGCACTTTGGGGAGCTGAGGTAGGGGATTGTTTGAACCCAGGAGTTTGAAATCAGCCTGGGCAACATGGTGAAACCCTATCTGTACAAAAAACACAAAAATTAGCTGGGTGTACTTGCAGGTGCCTGTGGTCCCAGCTACTCAGGAGACTGAGCTGGGAGGATAGCTGGAGCCTGGGAGGTCGAGGCTGCAGTGAGTTGCGATCATGCCACTGCACCCCAGTGTGGGTGACAGAGTGAGACCCTGTCTCAGACAAAAACAAAAACAAACCAAATATAATGTTTATGTGCTACACACTTGATTTCTTTCCAAAGGTTTATATAACACTGTACTTTCACCAGCAATATATGCGACTACTCATTTCCTACATACTATCACTTGTGTGCAGTCAAGGAAACTTAGTAGGCCTGAATTGCCCAAACCTGGCATACTCCAAAGAATGGTGTGACTCTATCCTAGTTCCTGGGAAATAACCTCTAAGTCCTTGGACTCTCCTGCCTATCTGGGAGTTAACAACGTGATTTATTATGGGGACCTTGGACCATGCAGTGTCAGCTTGACCTTGGGAAGGGTGGAGACAGAGAAACTAATGTCATCCAAATGGGTGCTCTTGTCCATGTGACCAACCTCCAGTAAAATGCTCAACACCAAGGCTCAGGTAAGCTTTTTGTTGGGGAGTATATTCTATACTGTTTGCCACATATCGCTGGGTGAATTAAGCACTGTCCACATGATGTCACTTGGAGAGGACAACTGGAAGCTTGTGCTTTGTCTCTCCTGGACTCTGACCTGTGCACCTTTTTCTGCTGCTGATTTTAATCTGTATCTTTTTGTTGTAATAAACTATGAGTAAAACAGCTTCACTCGGTTTTGTGAGTCTTTCTAATTAATCACTAAACCTTTGGGACCTCAGAACACAATGTTGTTTCTTCTTCAGTTGAATTTTCCATGTTATGTAAGAAACCTATGTGCATAAATGAAAAATCACAAACTAAGAAAGAGCTTTCCATGCAGTCTACTCCCCCACCCTGTTTCTCCAATCCTCCCAGGTCTGCTTCCTGAATAATCAAATGTCTAAATTTTCTAAACTATTTCTAATCTATATATCTGAGTGCTTATCTCTATATTATATAATAGGTAGAACCAGCTCCTTCTCAATATATCAACTTGATATATTACCTGATGGCTTCCTGTCCTGATAGCTGATGACTTGGCTGACACTCACCCCTTACCCTAGTGCCTGGACCACTTTTCAAACACGGTGCTCTCACCATTTTCTTCCTCTTTTCTTTTCTTTTCTTTTCTTTTTTTTTTTTTGAGACAGAATATTGCTCTGTCACCCAGGCTAGAGTGCAGTGGCATGATCTGGGCTCACTGCAACCTCCACCTCCCAGATTCAAGTGATTCTCCTGTCTCAGCCTCCGGAGTAGCTGGGATTACAGAGGCATGCCACCATGCCTGGCTAATTTTTGTATTTTTAGTAGAGACGGGGTTTCACCCTCTCAGCCAGGTTGGTCTCGAACGCCTGACCTCATGATCCACCCATCTCAGCCTCCTAAAGTGCTGGGACTGCACCCGGCCAATCTCACTATTTTCAATGGCTCTCTTGGTCACCTTTCACTTGGGAGAGTAGCTGAGGCAGGAGAATCACTTGAACCCGGGAGGTGGGGGTTGCAATGAGCTGAGATGCTGCCATAGCACTGCAGCCTGGGCAACAAGAGTGAAACTCTGTCTAAAAAATAAATAAATAAATAAAACAGAAAAGGAAAGGAAAGAAAAGAAGCTCTCTCTCCATATACCTGTAAGGATCATTGTGTTAATTTTCTTCATGTCTTAACATGATTCTTGCCTTGTCAGAGATCATCCTATCTGAAATTGAAACTATTTACCACTTCCCTTTTTTTCCATAGCACTTAAAATATTTTTTTTTTTTTTTGAGATGGAGTCTCGCTCTGTCACCCAGGCTGGAGTGCATTGGTGTGATCTCGGCTCACTGCAACCTCCACCCCCCAGGTTCAAGTGATTCTCCTGCCTCAGCCTCCCAAGTAGCTGGGATTACAGGCATCTGCCACCATGCCTGGCTAACATTTTTTTTTTTTTGTATTTTAGTAGACATGGGGTTTCACCATGTTGGCCAGGCTGGTCTTGAACTCCTTACCTGAGGTGATCCAAACCACCTCGGACTCCCAAAGTGTTGGGATTACAGGGGTGAGCCACCACACCCAGCCCTGGCTAATTTTTGTATGTTTAGTGGAGGCAGGTTTTCACCATATTGGCCAGGTTGATATCGAACCCCTGACCTCAAGTGATCTCCCTGCCTCGGCCTTCCAAAGTGTTGGTATTACAGGCATGAGCCACTGTGCCCGGACTGCTTTTTGACAAATCATTTCTGTTCTTACATTATGTCCACTAGAATGTAAACTTGATGAGAGCAGGAGATATTGTCAATTTTGTTCAATGTTATTTATCCCTAGAGCCTAGAACTGTACCATGCACATGGTAAGGAGACAAATATTTGTTGAATGAATATATTGAGCAGCTGTTCTCAGACTGTTTGGTTTCAGAAATTCTTTACTCTCTGTTTCTTTACTCCCGACCTCAGGTGATCTGCCCACCTTGGCCTCTCAAAGTGCTAGGATTATAGGAGTGAGCCAAAACACCCACCACCCAACTAATTTTTGTATGGTAGTAGGCACCGGGTTTTGCCATGTTGGCCAGGCTGATCTTGAACCCCTGAACTCAAGTGATCCCCCACCTCAGCCTCCAAAAGTGCTGAGATTACAAGCGTGAGCCACTGCACCTGACTAAATAAACCAAAAACTTTAGATAAGTGAATTTGGAGGAAATACTTATAACAGATAAAATGGACAAACAGATAATTCTAATTTACTGTCTCTCTGGCTTAATAAAATATTAGTCAATACCCTAAGAAGAAAGGAACAAAATCTAAAAATTCACCATTCACAAACACAAATAGTTGGAAAACAAAGTCAAAACCTAAGAACTTGTTGACTTATCTCTCCTCTGAAATCAGCTCTTGAATGTGTTGAACTAGGATTGACCTCGGATTAGGAAATTTTTTAAATATTTTTTAAAGTTTCACTTTTTGGAATTTAAAATTAATCCAAATTATGTAATATATAACATTTGGAATTTACCAGTCAATACTCTATCATTTTATTTTTCACTCTTCAAATAATTTCTTGTTCAAGAATTTAAAATGCTTTTAAAATTAATAGATTCGGCAGGCTATGGTCTGTAGAGACTGTCTCTACAAAAAATAAAACTACATATATTTTAAAATATATATAAAATATATATTTATTTAAATGTATATGTTTCAAGTATATAAAATATTTTTTTTAAAATTTCATTTTTTTGCCAGAACTTATGGTAAGCATATGTTTAGTCTGGCAGGAACTTGAAAAACTGCCTTCCACAGTGGCTGTCCCACTTTGCATTCTCAGCGGAAATAGAGATGAATTCCTGTTACTCCATATCTTCACCAGCATTTGGTGTTGGTGTTTGCATTCAAGCCAGTCTAAGAGATGTGTAATGGTATCACATCGTTGTTTTAATTTGAATCCCCTAGTGACATATGGTGTTGAGCATCTTTTCAGAGGTCTAAGAAATGTGCTGGGCATGGTGGCACATGCCTGTGGTCCCAGCTACTCAGGAGGCTGAAGTGGGAGGGTTACTTGAGCCCTGGAGGTTGGGGCTGCATTGAGCCATGATTGCACCACTGCACTCCAGCCTGAGTGACAGAGCTAAACCCTGTCTTAAAAAGATAAATAAGGCCAGGCGCGGTGGCTCATGCCTGTAATCCAAGCACTTTGGAAGGACAAGGCAGGAGGATCATGAGGTCAGCAGATCAAGACCATCCTGGTTGACACAGTGAATCTCCGTCTCAACTAAAAATAAAAAAATTAGCCAAGCATGGTGGCTGGTGCCTGTAATCCCAACTACTCAGGAGGCTGAGGCAGGAGAATCGCTTGAACCTGGGAGGCAGAGGTTGCCGTGAGCCGAGATTGGGCCATTGCACTCCAGCCTGGGTGACAGAGTGAGACTCCATCTCAATAAATAAAAATAAATAAATAAATAAATAACTGACTTAATTTTTAGAACAGTTGTAGGTATACACAAAAATAGAGCAGAAGGCATATTGAGCTCTAATATCCACCTCACACCATAGTACACACACTTCCTCTATTATCATCTTGTTAGTGTGGTAATTTGTTATGCTTGATGAGCCAATATTGCTATTATTAAGTTCACGGCCAATATTAAGATTCACTCTCTATGTTCTACCATTCATGGGCTTTGACAAATGCTTAAGGACATATATCCACCATTATAGGGTCACACAGAAAAGTTTCACTGCCCTAAAAATCTTCTGTGCTCCATCTATTCTTCCTTCCCTCTGCTCAAGCCCCTGGCAACCACTGAACTTTTTATAATACCATCTGCCTAGTTTTGCCTTTTCTAGTATTCCATATAATTGGAACTCTATACTATGTGGCCTTTTTGTATTGGCTTCTTTCACTTAGAAATACATGTTTAAGATTCCTCCATGTCTTTTCATGCCTTGGTAGTTCATCTCTTTTTATTTCTGAAGAATATTCCATTGTATGAATGTTTCAGAGTTAGTTTATCCATTTCTATATTGCAGGATATCTTGGTTACTTCCAATCTTTGTCAGTTGTGTATAAGCTGCTGTAACATTCATGTGCAGGATTTGAGTGGATATAAGTTTTCAAATATTTGGGTATATACCAAAGAATGCAACTGCCAGATCGTATTTAAACATACAAGGATGCAGATGCCATACACACAAATATGTATGTATATGTCATGCTTGTATACAATTTTAAATGCATATATGTGTTCTATGGATATGTAAGCATTTCTCTATTTTCACAGAAATGTCACTCTAAATCAGTACCTAGGGAGGGTCATCATTTTCTTTATCTACAAATCAAGACACAGTATGAGTGGCTGCACCCAATTTGGTAAGTCCTCTATTATTGAGGATGTTTTCCTGTTTCCTTTGTCATTGTTGTTGTTGTTTTGTTTTGAGACAGAGTTTCACTCTTTTGAGTCAAGTGGTGTGATTTCAGCTCACTGTAGCCTCCCGAGTAGCTGAGATTATAGGTGCCCACCACCACGCCCAGCTAATTTTTGTATTTTTAGTAGAGATGAGGTTTTACCATGTTGGCCAGGCTGGTCTTAGCTCCTGACCGCAGGTGATCCATCCGCCTCAGCCTCCCAAAATGCTGAGATTACAGGCGTGAGCCACCATGCTTGGCTGCTTTCATCATTTCAGACTGAGCTTGGAGAAGAACCTGAGGGAAAACATGACTTTAAAATTTTGATGAATGGAGAAATCTCTTTCCATTCACCTTCCTTTCCTCTATTTCATTCTTATTTTAAAATATGCAGACAAAGATATGGATACATCAGTTATTAAATAAACGTCTGTGTGATACCTATCCAGGTGAAGAAATAGAGCACTATCACCACCGAGAAGTCCTCCTTATGCCCCTAACCGATCCTAAAGTCTTTCTTCCCCTTATTAGTAACAGATATAACAGATATCCACATTACCTGTGGATATCTGCCATCCTCTCCTTGGTTCTCTTTATAATTTTATTATGTATTTTATATATTTTTTTCGTTTTGGAGATGGAGCCTCGCTCTGTCACCCAGGCTGGAGTGTAGTGGCATGATCTTGACTCACTGCAACCTCCGCCTCCCAGATTCAAGCGATTCTCATGACTCAACCTCCCAAGTGGCTGGGATTACAGGCATGGGCCATGTGCCACCATGCCTGGATAATTTTTGTATTTGTAGTAGAGATGGGGTTTTGCATGTTGGTCAGGCTGGTTTAGAACTCCTGACCTCAATGCCTGGCCTTATTATGCATTTTTTATATTCCTAAGGTAAAGTCTGATTTTGCCTGGTTTTTCTCTTACATAATTGGAGTAAAAGTCTGTATCCTGGTGCATCTGGTGCCTTTTACTCAATATTAAGTATTTAAGATTCACACTTAGCATTGTTTCTGCATTCTATTGAAACAGTACACCAGCCAGGCATGATGGCTCACGCCTATAATCCCAGCACTTTGGGAGGTCGAGGCAGGCAGATCACTTGAGGTCAGGAGTTCCAGACCACCCTAGCCAACATGGTGAAACTCCATCTCTATTAAAACTACAAAAATTAGGGCACGTGGTGGCTAATGCCTGTAATCTCAGCACTTTGGGAGGCCAAGGCAGGTGGGTCACGAGGTCAGGAGATGGAGACAATCCTGGCGAACACGGTGAAACCACATCTCTACTAAAAACAGAAAAATTAGCCAAGTGTAGTGGCACATGCCTGTAGTCTCAGCTACTCAGGAGGCTGAGGCTGGAAAATCACTTGAATCTGGGAGGCAGAGGTTGCAGTGAGCCAAGTTTGCACCACTGCACTCCAGCCTGGGTGACAGAATTAGACTCTGTTAAAAAAAAAAAATTTAGCCAGGTGTGGTGTTGTGTGCCCGTAATCCCAATTATTTGAGAGGCTAAGGCAGGAGAATCAGTTGAACCTGGGAGGTGATAGAGGTTGCAGTGAGCCAAGATCACGCCCTGTACTCCAACCTGGGCAATAGAGTGATAGTCTCAAAAAAAAAAAAAAAGCCCAAGCGCAGTGCCTGCCACCTGTAATCCCAGCACTTTGGGAGTCCGAGATAGGTGGATCACCTCAGGACAGGAGTTTGAGACCAGCCTTACCAACAAGGTGAAACCCCATCTCTACTAGAAATACAACAATTTACCGGGAGTGGTGGCACATACCTGTAATCCCAACTACTGGGGAGGCTGAGACAGGATAATTGCTTGAACCCAGGGGGCAGAGGTTGCAGTGAGCCGAGATCGCACCACTGCACTCCAACCTGGGCAACTAAGCAAGACTCTGTCTCAAAAAATATATATAAATTTATATTTATATACATAAAATAAATATAAAAAATAAAAATAAATAAAACTACAGTACACCAGTGTGTATCCCTTCATTGTTGGTGGACATGTGGGTTGTGTTCATTTTTGTCAGTTACAAATGATGCTGTTGTGAACATGTTTGTATTTCTATTTGGTTACCATTAGTGTGTATTTATGTACAGTATAAACCAAGAGGTGAAATCACAGGTTACAGGGTAAACATATCTTCAGTTTTACCAGGTATTATTGGTTTCATCCCAATGTTAACACACCAACTGACAGTCTTACAATGTCTGATAATTCCCAAATCTTCGCATTCTTCTTGACACTTAATTTTGTCAAAATTTTAATTCGAGTCTTTTGGTGAGTATGTGGCAATGATTGTGATATTAATTTACTGGGCCTTTTCTTCTCTATAACAGGCCCTGTCAAGATATATGTGTGGTGTGGCAGGGGTAGGAGCCCCTAGAGGTAGCATGGGCTCTGGAATCCTTAATCATTCTATGTGAAAAAGTTGGTGCGGCAGTGATTTTTTTGTTTTTTTGAGACAGAATTTCGCTCTTGTTGCCCAGGCTGGAGTGCAATGGCACTATCTCAGCTCACTGCAACCTCCATCTCCCAAGTTCAAGTGATTCTCTTGCCTCAGCCTCCCAAGTAGCTGGGATTAGAAGCATGTGCCACCACACCCAGCTAATTTTTTGTATTTAGTAGAGATGGGGTTTCACCACGTTTGTCAGGCTGGTCTTGAACTCCTGACCTCAGGTGATCCACCTGCCTCAGCCTCCTAAAGTGCTGGGATTACAGGCATGCACCCCTGCACCCTAATATTTCCTATGTGCAATGGTGTAGCCAGGGTGCAAAGCCGGTTCTTAATGATTCTGTCATCCAAATATTATATATTCTCGATTCCCCTTGAGATATGCTCATTCCTCCATACAATTAAACAATCCCAATTACTCTTGCAGGAGCATAAAATCCTCCCTGTCTAATCATGGGTCCTTCCAAATTATTTGTTGGCTTGTGTTTAAAATATAAAAAAGAGAATGTAGATTTTGTTTTCTTCTTCCTGCTTAACCTGAACAAAATGTCATAGTTACCTCCTAGCCTGTTGCTAAACCAAGGAGAGTCACTTGAATAATGAACAAGACTGGAGGGAAACCACATGGATAATTTATCATTACACTATCATCACATACATGGAACTCATCAATGAAGCTTACGAAAAAAATTGAGTCATTTGTGGAAAAGTGTAAAGAGAATATAAGAGATGCCTCAAGTGAAGAGAAAAAAATCTGCAGAAAATAATTACAAAAAAAGAGTGTTAAGATGTAAACACAAATTCAGAGATTCAGGAGCACAAAGGGTTAAGTTAAGGGAAAAAAGAGTTATCAGTATTTTCTTATTCATTATGGAGAGCAGGATGAATTCTTAAAAGGTCAAATAATTGTGAGTCTGATATATCTGATGATAATTTGTATTTTGTATTTCTAATGTTGTAAATGGTTGTTAATTCACAGTCATTATTCCTATTTCCTTTAGACTAGTGACCATGAGTTTGACTGACAAAAACCCATTGGGTTAGTATTGTTATCTATGTGTGTTCATCATGCTATGTGTTAAAATAAGTCCATCAATTTTTGTCTTGTGTTTGTTTTCATTTCATTTTAGTTTAGTTTCTTTGGGACAGGGTCTCACTCTGTCACCCAGGCTGGAAGTGCAGTGGCATGATGACAGCTCACTTCAGCCTCTACATCTCCAGTCTCAGGTGATCCTCCTACCTCAGCCTCCCAAGTAGCAGGGACTACAGGCATGAGCCACCACACCTGGCTAATTTTTGTATTTTTTGTAGAGATGGGGTTTTGATATGTTGCTCAGGCTGGTCTCAAACACTTGGACTCAAGTGATCTGCCCACCTTGGCCTCCCAAATTGCTGGGATGACTGGCATGCACCACTGTCCCGGCCTGTTTTCATTTTATTAATTGGCTGATTCATTCAGACACATAATTATCAAGTCAAATCTCACTCTTTCCTTAGCATTTCCCTTCCGTTTAGCTGAGAAAATCTATTCCTATTTTAAAACATATACGATTATTCGAGTGTGGTGGCACATGCCTGTAATCTCAGCTTCTCAGGAGGCTGAGGCAGGAGTATCACTTCAACCCTGGAGTGATATAGTGATTATATATAATATATAACTATATAGTGATTATAGTTTATAATTTTAACTATATCATGTCTCCTGCCTCATAAGTGCCACTGGACAAGGTCCCTTTTATGAACTCAGCTGCTGTCAGAGGTAAATGTATTTTGAAGTGGAGAACAAAGTTAAGTGCAAAATTGGCATGGAGAACTAAGGTAATTATGAAAGCTCCAGATACAAAGAGAGAGGGCTCAATATGCCAGCAGTTCTCTTCCAATCCATCCTAGCGGCCTTCTTTTAGGATTGCCTAAATAATGCAGGAGATGGGTGCAAGACACACAAGTGTTCCAGAAGCATGTAAACAAGGTACAGAGAAGAGGATAAGATAAAATAAGATGAGATAAGAATATTAGGAATGCCTTGTTCAGAAGGTTGCCTACAGAGGCAAAAGGGACAGTTTCATTTTGCTGAGGGAAACAGGGTGGTAAGAACCCTCCTGGGGAAGATCCCCACTTACCCTGATACAGAAAGAAGGTGTAAAATTTCATAATGGGAGAGCATTAGGCTGAGATAGCTCCCATGGCCAGGGTTCCTGCATAGACAAAATGAAACAAGCTTAGCCCACCCACAAGTGGCCTGCTGAGTATTAGCTGCGTAATGAGAGACCTACCACCAGGATAGTTCAAATAATGCAACTGCCCACATTTTTGCCAATCAAATAATTTCTCTACTCTACTTCTATACTCACCCTATAAAAGCCTTCCTTACAAACACCTCCAGTAGATCCTCCAACCACTTTTAGTTTGGAGCTGCCTGATCCATGAATCTCTGTTTGCTTAAATAAACTCTTTAAAATTTTAATATGCTTAAGTTTATCTATTTTTTTCTCATTTTAAAAAATTGAGATGGGATCTTCCTATGTTGTCCAGGCTGGTCTTAAACTCCTGGACTCAAGGGATCCCCCTGTCTCAGCCTCCTGAGTAGCTGGAATTATAGACGTGTGCCTCCACACCCAGCTTACATTTATCTTTAAACAAGGGTTTGACCTCTTTCTGAAATATATTTCTGTGAAGACCTGTACCCTCAGTGATATGGCAGGCTCATTTTAGACCATCGAGCACTTTTGTCTCTGGACTACAATTTGCCCTTTGTGACCTGCTCTACTAAAAAATTCAAGTGTAATTCAAGTTAGTTTACCCTCTGCTGATCAGGGGAGATTGCTCTCGGTGCAAGTTCAAAACAGGCACTCACACCTTCATTCATACCCCAAATCTCAGCATCACACAATACACCCATGTAATAAACCTGCAAAGTACCCTCCGAAATCTAAAATGAAAGTTGAAATTCATTAAAATTTTAATTTCATCTTATTACAAAACAAAGATAAATTTACTGCTTTCCAATTTTGATATATATATATTATACTGACATACACACTGTATTCTATGGTGAATTATGTTGATTGAATTTCACATTTTAAACTAACACTGAGTTACTTTGAAAAACTCTATTGCGTGATAATGTATTATGCTGTTAATATATTTTAATACAATTTGCAAATATTCTGTTTTAAAATTACATCTATGTTCCATAAATAAATAAATATGTAAAAATAATAAATGTTTGTATTATTCAAGTGAAGATTATAGCAATATTTTTGAATATCTACTTAATCTCAACTAGTTTTAATTCAGAAGTAGCAACTCCATAGAAATTCAGCTTATTACTACCTTATTACTCATACTTGTCTCCTTGAAGAAGCTTCATTGCTATCATCCAGTTTAGAATGGGATGTCATAAATCTCTAGACTGAGTAGTATAATATCCACTGTACAAATAAAATCAAATTATTATTATAATGTTATGACACCTCCAAATACAAAAAGCAAGCCCATGGATGTCAGGTTAAGGTATAGAGAAAATATTCCTACTTACTATCTTTTAGGGCAGACATATCCCAGCCAAGCTGATTGCAAAATGAAATGGAAACCATATGGTGGAAGGGGACTTGGGACTCACAGATTGGATTTTCATTCCAACCCTTACATACACAAGCTGCATGACTCTGGGTAGCTTGCATATTCTCTTAGACTTTCAATTTCCTCATCTGTGCAATGGCAATTAATGCCTATGGGCTATGGCTGATGTGGGGATAAAAGAACCAACACGGATGCATGGGCAGGGCCTGGTCCATGGAGCAGCTGGCATCAACAAATGGAAGCCCCTTCCCATCTTGTCTTTGCGTGCACCACAAAATCCGGAATATGTGGGTATAAAAAGTACTCTTAAAAGATACATAACTGGAAACTTTTGCAAAAAGAGATTGGAAAGGTGTCACATCTTGTGGCATGAGGAGCTGTGGGCATACACTTGAACTTTGTGCTGTGAGATATCCACAGAACTTCAGTAGCTGAAGAGAACAGTTTAGATGTCATCTTATTCATCTACCATAGAACTTCCTCTTCTTCTCTGAGATTTCTAGACAATAACTTTTACAGCTCTAATAATGCAGTTGTCTCTCAATTGTTTGGACTATTCTAATAGATACAAAGCAGTATTTCACCAGCAGATGCTACTGCAGTTTGTATGATGATTTCAAACTGAGAATCTATTTAAAGTTATGCAATACTTTTTTTGGAAATAGGGTGAAAGTAGTTTAAGCTTAAAATCCTATAAAATAGGCTTACAGTAAATAATTACTTGTTGCAATATCTATCATACTATCTTATATTCACACATGTGTTGGTGTCCTAATACATATGTATGAGAGTGAAAGTTACCTGAGGTCAGAGACTGTGCCATATGTTCCCTGCACCACTGGTGCCTATCTCAGCACATGATATACAGTAGATGCTCAATAAATACTTTCACTTAAAAAATGCACTGAGAATAAATCTTATTAGACATCAAAATACATATGAGTACAATCTAGGGATATGGTCAGGAGCTCAAAATTCAATCTTATTTATTTTTTATTTGGAGACAGAATCTCACTCTGTTGCCCAGGCTGGAGTTCAGTGGCATGATCTCAGCTTACTGCAACCTTCCTCTCCTGGGTTCAAGTGATTCTCCTGCCTCAGCCTCCAGAGTAGCTGGGATTACAGGTGCACACCAACACGCCTGGCTAATTTTTTTGTATTTTTAGTAGGCACAGGGTTTCACCATGTTGGCCAAGTTGGTCTCAAACTCCTGAGCTCAGGCAAACTGCCCACCTTGGTCTCCCAAAATGCTGGGATTACAGGTGCCAGCCACAACGCACAGCCACAAAATGTTTTAAAGTAGCTTCAAAACCCATTTGCAAATAGATGTATTCATAACAAGCTGCAAACAAGAAAACATTGAGCTTCATATAATAGAAGGGTTCTGCCTGGATTTGCATGTGGCCCCATCATTTGTTTGCTGTTGGGCCATGGTCAGGTTACGTAGCTGCTCTCTGCCTCCACATAGGCTTTATGCCTGTGTATCCCTCATCTACAAAATGGGAATAATAAGAATATCTAACAGTTAGAAGTGGAGAAAATATATGTAAAGACCTTTGAAAAGGGCTTGTGAAAGCTCAATAATTGTCCTCAATAATTGCTGTCAATAACTGTCAGCTATCATTCAATCATAATCATAATCATGAAAATGTAAGACTCAAAGAAAGATTCTGACTTCATATCCAGCTTCCCAAAAGAATCAGACACTGGACCTGTGAAAAGAATGACATTGAGATGTATTTTCACATTGCTAAGTTGGTTTTTTCTTTGCCATTCAATTTCTGCAGTCCCTACTCTAAGCCCATGGTCCACTTTTTATTTTTCCTCCTAAGATGTCTTCCCTTCTTGTAAGATTTACTTTTCCTTAAAAAGGGCTCTTTTCATCTACCCACTCTTTTGCCCTTCCCAGAAGTTGGTTAATGGGCACAAAAATACAGTTAGATTGAAGGAACAGAAAAATTTCTAGTGTTCAATAGCACAGTAGGGTGATGATCATTAACAATAACTTATATATTTCAAAATGACTAGAGGAAAGATGTGGAATGTTCTCAACACAAATAAATGATAAAAGTTTGAGGTGATGGATATGCAAATTATCTTGATTTGATCACTACACATTGTATGCATGTATCAAAATATCACATGTACCCTACAAATATGTATAATTGTCATGTATCAATAAAAATAAAAAGGCCTATTTCTCTTTCCTTCCTTCCCGCATTCCCTCCTGTCCCAGATATGTGTTGTTCCTGGTGCTCTCCTGCCCCCCGTTCAGCCAGCACTGAGCCAGCAGGAAAGATCTCACAGGTCATATCCTGAGATAAACCCTCCACTACTTCAGGTAATAATCCTCCTGCTTTTAGTCATTTATATCCTTTGGTTCATACATATTTTGAGTCAAGTACCTTCTAACTACTGATCTACATAATATTCCTTGGTTTTTAAAGATAATACAAAGTGGATTTTAGTAACAATCTTGAGTCATCACAGAAGCTAATGAAGTTGGGGATTCCACGAAGCCATCCAAGCATATAAAGCCCATTTCCTTGGGTCCCTTTTCCTTAGCTCAAGGCCACAAAAAATCAGAACGTGAATTCCAGCCCACATTTGCATTATGTCTAAATAATTATGAGTTATAAATGAAGCTAACAAATAGTTAAATATGTTCTATTCTCCTATTTTGATAAATATACTGCCATAATGACCCACAAGGTCAAAGTTGAGTGTAGAATTCTCTGATTTCTTGGTGCTCTGCACAGGAATGTGGTAGTAAAGGGAGAGCCGATCCTCAGCCCCAGGCTAAACTTTTTTCTTTCATCGTAGGTAGCCCTGTCCTCACTTGAGAAGCTTTGCATACCCTTGTGTGGGGAACTCCCTAGGCCCCATGCAAGCTCCATCCACAATTCTCACCCCTTCAGAAAGCAGATCTTTGGGCACCATTTGGACAAGCACAGTTTGCACTTTGAAATGGACCCAGGGAAGAGGCCATGCAGGCTCAGGCACATTTCGCCAGGGCCCTGAGTGCCCAGCGTGTGCCCTAGAAGAGAGGGTGAAGCTCTGAGTGGGCCAGGGTATAGTCAGTGGAGGGCCAGAGAGGCACCTTCTCAAGTACAGGATTCAGGGCAGGGGTCCTCTTGCCCAGATCAATGGCTATGATTGCTTAGTGCAATGGCGCCTGCGTCATGTCTTCTCACCTCACCTTTCATTCAGTCTCAGCCACCGTGGGAAGTTCCATGGAAGCACAGGCTTCCCTTGTGCTGCCAGCAAACTCAAGGTACACTTTCTGCCCTAGGGAATCTCCATTATTGTAGGATTTTGCCTGAGCACAAATACAGCCCAGAAACACTTGCAGGTTAACAGCCTCAGGGGAAGACCTCAACCAGTGTGGGACAGGTGGACAAATGCTCCAGGCTCATGTTTCAGGTGGACAGTTCTGGATAACTTTCTGGAGCCTCTCGGAAGGTCCTGCAGAAAAAACTGCATGGCAGGAGCCTCAATAGCATGCCATTATTTTGGCTTTTCTTTCTTGCCTGGCTCACTCTTCCCACTTCTGACTCTTGCTTCTTGGAATCACTTCCCAAATAAACCACCCACACCGAAGTCCTTACTCCAGCTCTGCTTCTAGGGATACAGGCACACCTTGGAGATATTGCAGGTTTGGTTCTAGGTAACACAATAAGGTGAATGTCACAACAGCGCAAGTCACACGAAATTTTTTGCAAGTCACACGAAATTTTTTGCTTTCTGGTGCATATAAATGTTATGTTGCTAGGCATGGTGGCTCACGCCTGTAATCCCAGCACACTGGGAGGCCAAGGCGGGTGCATCACCTGAGGTCAGAAGTTCAAGACCAGCCTGTCCAACATGGCGAAACCCTGTGTCTACCGGAAATACAAAAATGGTGGTGCGCACCTGTAGTCCCAGCTACTCAGGAGGCTGAGGCAGGATAATTGTTTGAACCTGGGAGGCAGAGTTTGCAATGAGCCAAGATTGCACCACTGCACTCCAACCTGGGCAACAGAGCCAGACTCCATCTCAAAAAAAAAAAGTTATGTTTAAGTTGCTGTAGTCAATTAAGTGTGCAAGAGCATTATGTCTAAAATATAATGTATATACCTTACTTTGAAAATACGTGATTGCCAAAAAATGCTAACCATCATCTGGGCCTTCAGTAAGTCATCATCATTTTGCTGCTGGATGGTCTTGTCTCAATGTTGATAGCTACTGACTCATCGAGGTGGTGGTTGCTGAGGGCTGGAGAGGGAGTGGCAATTTCCTAAAATAAGATGACAATGAAGTTTACCGCGTTGACTGACTCTTCCTTTCACAAAAGATTTCGCTGTAGCATACTACGCAGTTTGGTAGCATTTTACCTACAGTAGAATTTATATCAAAATTGGAACCAATTCTCTCAAACCCTGCCACCCTTTTATCAACTAAGTTTATGGGATATTCTAAGTCCTTTGTTGTTCTTTCCACAATGTTCACAGCATTTTCACCAGGAGTAGATTCCATCGCAAGAAACCACTTTCTTTCCTCATTCATAACAAGCAACAATAATATATTATTTTATATATATTATATATTATATAGCATTATATAATAATATATAATATTATATATTGTATATTATTATATTAATTATATTATATTATATATTTTATCATAATATAATATGTATTATAATATTATATATTATATAAGCAGAAATGATATCCCTTGGTTTTTAAAGATAATACAAAGTGGATTTTAGTAACAATCTTGAGTTGTCACAGAAGCTAAAGAAGTTGGGGATTCCATGAAGCCATACAAGCATATAAAGCCCATTTCCCTGGGTCCCTTTTCCTTAGCTCAAGGCCACAAAAAATCAGAACGTGAATTCCAGCCCACATTTGCATTATGTCTAAATAATTATGAGTTATAAATGAAGCTAACAAATAGTTAAATATGTTCTATTCTCCTACTTTGATAAATATTCACAGTATATTATGATAAATATATTGCCATAATAACCCACAAGGTCAAAGTCGAGTGTAGAATTCTCTGATTCCTTGTTGCCCTGCACGCGAATGTCATAGTAAAGGGAGAGCCGATCCTGAGCCCCAGACTAAACTTTTTTCCATCTAATTCCATTTATTTCCATTAAGATTGCAGCAATTTGTCCAGGTGTGGTGGTTCATGCCTGTAATCCCAGCACTTTGGGAGGCTGAGGCAGATGGATTATCTGCAGTTGGGAGTTTGAGACCACCCTAACCAACATGGTGAAACACCTTGTCTACTAAAAATACAAAATTAGCCGGATGCAGTGGCACATGCCTATAATGCCAGCTACTCAGGAGGCTGAGGCAGGAGAATCAATTGAACCCAGGAGGCGGAGGTTGTGGTGAGCCGAGATCGCAGCATTGCACTCCAGCCTGGGCAACAAAGCAAAACTCCATCTCAAAAAAAAAAAAAAAAAAAAAAAAAAAAAAAAAAAAAAAAAAAAAGATTGCAGCAATTCACTCACATCTTCAGGCTCCACTTGTAATTCTAGTTTTCTTGCTATCTTCACCACAACTGTGGTTACTTCCTCTGCTAAGGTCTTGAACCCCTCAAAGTCATTTATGAGGGTCAGAATCAACTTCTTCCAAACTCCTATTAATGCTGCTATTTTTACCTCCTCTGGTGAATCATGAATGTTCTTAGTGGCATCTATCATAGTGAATCCTTTCCAGAAGGTTTCTAATTGACTTTGCCCAGATCCATCGAAGGAATCATGACCTGTGGCAGTAACAGCCTTATGAAATATATTTCTCAAATAATAAGACTTGAAAGTCAAAATGATGCCTCAATCCATGGACTACAGAATAGATGTTGTATTGGCAGGCATGAAACCAGCCTGCATTTCCCTGTACATCTCCATTAGAGCTCTTTAGTCACCAGGTACACTGTCAAAAAGCTGAAGTATTTGAAATAAATCTTTTTTTTCGGAGCTGTAGGTCTCAACAGTGGGATTAAAATACTCAGTAACCCATGCGGTAAACAGCTCTGATATCATCCAAGGGTTGTTGTTCCATTTATAGAGCTCGGGTAGTGTAGATTTAGCATAATTCTTAAGAGGTGCCCTAGGATTTATGGAATAGCAAATGAGCATTGTCTTGTAAGAAGAAAGTCAGCCTGTCTTTTAAATCTTTTTCTTTTTCTTAATATAAGGTCTCACTCCATTACCCAGGCTGGATTACAGTGGCATGATCTTGGCCCACTCCATACTTGACCTCCTTGGCCCCACAACCCTCCCACCTCAGCCTCCTGAGTAGCGGGGACTAGTAGCATGCACCACCATACGTGGCTTTTATTTATTTATTTATTTATTTATTTATTTATTTATTTATTGTTAGAGACAGGGTTTCACCATGTTGCCCCGGCTGGTCTGAAGCTCCTAAGCTCAAGCCATTCCCCCACTTCAGCCTCACAGAGTGCTGGGATTACAGGCGTGATCCACCCTGTCTGGCCTCTAAATTTGTGTTATGGAGACTCATTTTCATGGTTAAAATGTCCTGAATTGACTGTGGCCTGTTGGGAGGCAGGATGGAGGAAACTACTTATGGAAAATGAAGAAGAAAGGGAAGCACACCAGAAGCAAGAAAGTGTCATCAATTTTTACATCAAGGACTCCATGATAAAGAGAAAGTACAGGTGGCCTGTTATCAAGGCTGACCATTGGACTGTGGACTGCACCTGCATCTACCAGGTTCTTCTGGATAGTCCCAGTTTTAAATTTTTGACCTGACATTCATGAACACAGTGCTACTGGTCAGACCTTTGTCCAGGTTTAAGCTTCAGAACATAATGTCTTCATGCAGTGGGAGGCCTTATTATGGTTATGATTCTGCCTTGGGGCATCTGCCCCTTCTGACCTGGAGGTAAGCTTGGCATCTACTACTTACCTCTACACTTGAACAGCCAAGGATGGGCTGAGCACAGAGGCTCACATCTGTAACTCCAGCACTTTGGGGGGCCAAGGCAGGAGGATTGCTTAAGGCCAGGAGTTCAAGACCAGCCTGGGCAATATAGTGAGACCTCATCTCTGTAAAAACAAACAAACAAAACCGAGGATGGGTGGGTGACAGAGAGCAGTTTAACATCGGAAACCATAAATCTGAGAGGTGGAAGGACCCTTAGACCAGCCCCACATTAACAGATGAGACTCTGCCCTGAGATTATAGCCTAAGGTAATGCATTGAGCTTTTCTAGAGATTTGAAAATAATCAATCGTAAAACCCCCAAGCATACTGCTACTGTTTGCTATTGAATAATGTTTTCTAGTCTGGGTGTGGTGGCTCCTGCCTGTAATTCCAACACTTTGGAAGGTCGAGGCAAGTGGATCACCTAAGGTCAGGAGTTCGAGACCAGCCTGGCCAACATGGTGAATCCCTGTCTCTACAAAAATACAAAAAATTAGCAGGCCATCGTGGTGTGCACCGGTAATCCCAGCTGCTTGGGAGGCTGAGGCAGGAGAATCCTTTGAACCTGGGAGGCAGAGATTGCAGTGAGCCGAGATCACACCATCGCACTCCAGCCTGGGCTACAAAAGTCAAATTCCATCTCAAAAATAATAATGATAATAATAATGTTTTCTACAAGCAAGGAGTTACTTTGTACTGTGAACTGGTGTGAAGGGATCTGCCATGTGTAAGCTTTTGGATTGATGACAGTTATTTCTAATTTTAAAAATAGCAACCCAACAGAAAATTGGGAAAATGCATTCATAGGGATTTCACAAAAGAGAAAGCCTGCAAAACATAAAAATTTTCTCAACCTCATTAGTAATCAGGGAAATGCACAAGATACTACACATCTATTCTCTCCACAAATATTAAGAAGTTTGACAATACAAAATGTATTAGTCCATATTCACACTGCTGATAAAGACATACCCAAGACAGGGAAGAAAAAGAGGCTTGATTGCATTAAGGGTTCCACGTGGCTGAGGAGGCCTCAGAGTTATGGTGGTGGATGAACAGCACTTCTTACATGGCAGTGGCAAGAGAATATGAGAAGGAGGCAAAAGAAGCAAAAGACAAAACCACTGATAAACCCATCAGATCTTGTGAGATTTATTCACTATCACGAGAATAGCATGGGAAAGACCGGCCCTAAAGATTAAACTACCTCCCCCTGGTTCCCTCCCCGAACACATGGGAATCCTGAGCAATACAATTCAAGTTGAGATGTGGGTAGGGACATAGTCAAACCATATTATTCTGCTCCTGGCCCCTCCAAATCTCACATCCTCACACTTCAAAACCGATCATGCCTTCCCAACAGTCCCCCAAAGTCTTAACTCATTTCAGTATTAACCCAAATGCCCACTGTCCAAAGTCTCATCTGAGACAAGGCAAGTCTCTTCTGCCTATGACCCTGTAAAATCCAAATCAAGCTAGTTACTTCCTAGATACAATGGGGATACAGGTAATTGAGTAAATACAGCCGTTCCAAATAGGAGAAATTTGCCAAAACAAAGGGGTTACAGGCCCCATGCAAGTCCAAAATCCAGCAAGGTAGTCAAATTTTAAAGCTGCAAAATGATCTCCTTTGACTCCATGTTTCACATCAAGGTCATGCTGATGCAAGAGGTGGGCTCCCACAGCCTTGAGTAGTTCTTCCCCTGTGGCTTTACAGGATATAGCCCACCTCGTGGCTGTTTCCATGGGCTGATGTTGAGTGTCCACAGCTTTTCCAGGCTCATGGTGCAAGCTGTCAGTGAATCTACCATTCTGGGGTCTGGAAGAGAGTGGCCCTCTCCTCACAGCTCCAATAGGAAGTGCCCCAGTAAGGACTCTGTATAGGGGCTTTGACCCCACATTTCTCTTCTGCACAGCCCTAGCAGAGGTTCTCCATCAGAGCACCACCCCTGCAGCAAACTTCTGCTTGGACATCCAGGTGTTTTCAAACATCCTCTGAAATCTAGGTGGAGGTTTCCAAACTTCAGTTCTTGACTTCTCTGCATGTGCAGGCTGAACACAACATGGAAGCTGCCAAGGCTTGGTGCTTGCACTCTCAAGGCCATGGCCTGAGTTCTATGTTGTCCCCTTTCAGCCATGGTTGGAGGGGCTGAAACGCAGAGAAACAAGGCCCTAAGCTACACACAGCACAGTCAACCTGGCCCAGCACAGAAATCCATTTTATCCTCCTAGGTCCCGGGCTTGTGATGGGAGGGGCTGCTGTGATGACCTATGACATGTCCTGTAGACATATTCCCCATTGTTTTTGGGATTAACATTCAGCTTCTTGTTACTTATGCAAATTTCTGCAGACAGCTTGAATTTATCCTCAGAAAATGGGATTTTCTTCTCTATCACATTGTCAGGCTGCAAATTTTCTAAAACTGTATGCTCTGCTTCCTTTATAAAACCAAAGGCCTTTAACATCACCCAAGTCACCTCTTGAATGCTTTACTGCTTAGAAATTTCTTCCAGCAGATACCCTAAATTATCACTCTCAAGTTCAAAGTTCTACAAATCTCTAGGACAGGGGCAAAATGCTGCCATTCTCTTTGCTAAAACATAACGAGAGTTACCTTTGCTCCAGTTCACAACAAGTTCCTCATCTCCATCTGAGACCACCTCTGCCTGGACCTTATTGTTCAAAACACTATCAGCATTTTTGTCAAAGTCATTCAGCAAGTCTCTAGGAGGTTCCAAATTTTCCCACATTTTCCAGTGTTCTTCTGAGCCCTCCAAACTGTTCCAACCTCTGCCTGTTACCTAGTTTCAAAGTTGCTTGCACATTTTTGGGTATCTTTTCAGGAGCACCCCACTCCACTGGTATCAATTTACTGTATTAGTCTGTTTTCACACTGCTGATAAAGACATACCCAAGTCTGAGAAGAAAAAGAGGTGTAAAGAAAAAGAACTGTAATTGGATTTACAGTCCCACATGGTGGGGGAGGCCTCAGAGTCATGGCAGGAGGTAAAAGGCACTTCTTACATGGCAGCAGCAAGAGAAAATGAGGAGGAAGCCAAAGCAGAAACTCCTGATAAACCCATCAGATCTCATGAGACTTATTCACTATCATGAGAATAGCACAGGAAAGACTGGCCTCCATGATTCAATTACCTCACCCTGGGTCCCTCCCATAACATGTGGGAATTCTGGGAGATAGAATTCAAGCTGCGATTTGGGTGTGGACACAGCCAAACCATATCACCATATATGGAGAGACTGTGGATCAACAAGATCATCTCAAACTAACACAGGAGGTGAGCGTTTAAATTAGAACAACCACTTTGGAAAGCAATTTGGATTATCTTATAAATTTGAGCATTCTCATATGTTATGGCAAAGTAATTTCTCTACCATAGGCCCTGGAGAAACTCTTGCCCATATGTACCAGATGTAGTAAAAAAAAAAAAAAAAAAAAAAAGGCTCATGTAATGTCATTCATAAGAGGAAAAATCTGGAAATAAGCCAAATGTTCATTAATAGGAGAATGGGTAAATTAATAGGAGAATGGGTAAATAAATTATACCCTTAAAAACTAAGTAACATGTCATTTAGGGTAATCATATGTATGCAGTAAAACAATGTGTTTTTTTAAAGGAAGAGAATCCTAAACATAAATTCAGGGTAGTAGTTACCCTCGGGCTGAAGGGTGAAAATCAAGAAAAAGGACAGAGGAGGAGCAGATGTTAGGGTCAGAACCCTAGTTCTTTGGTTGTGTTGTAAGTTCACAAGTGATTACCATATTGTTCAAATACATTTACACAGAGACCCAGGCACAGACAAGGGTGAAATAGGAGCCAAGGTGTACTATGAGCCAAGGATTATGATTAATCCAATTTTGTGCACTTTAAGCCATTTGAAAAACAGAAAAGCAAAACAACAAAATAATTTTTAAGAAATTGAATATAGGGTGCTATGCTCTGAATGTGTCCCCCTAAAATTAATCACCAATGTCATAGGATTAGGAAGTAGGGCTTTTAGGTAGTGATTCAGTCATGAAGGGAGAGTCTTCACAAATGGGTGTAGGATCCTTACACAAGGACTGGAGGGAGTGGGCTTCCCCTGTTTTGCCCTTCCGCCTTCTGCCATGTGAGGACACAGTGCATCTCCTCCTGAAGACACAGTGCACAAGGTACTATCTTGGTTGCAGAGACCAGGCCCTCACCAGACACCAATCCTGCTGGCACCTGGATCTTGGACTTCTAGCCTATGGAACTGTGAGAAATACATTTCTGTTCTTCAGAAATTACCCAGCCTAGTGTATTTTCTTATATAGAAGCACAAACTCATTAAGGCACAATGCCTCTTGTCATTTTCTTCTACAATTTTCTTTGTTGCTTCTTTAGCACTGGGTCATTTTATATTTGCTCCTTCATAATATCTCTTACTTTCGGTTTTTCACATTTCTGTTCCAAGTGTATTCTTAGATACATATTTTCCACTATTAGTTAACCTCAGGGGTTGCCTGGGAATGTGTGTTTCTGTGCCACCACTGTAGGACTGTGTGTGTGTGTGTCTCCCATTCTCTCTTCTCTGTCTCTCACCCTCTGTGTGTTTCTTTCCTTCTCTCTGTTGGTCTGTGTGTGTGTGTGTGTTTGTGTTTGTATGCCCGTGTGTGTGTGTCTTTGGACGAATGTGCTCTGTTTGCCAAAATGCGATTTTTTGCATGTCGGCCAGTCTTTGTTGAGCCTCTTTCTGCGTCTCTGCCTGGGTCCCGTGGCCAGTTGTCCATCATTTTCACGGCGGTTCCACTTTGGGTTTGTGAAGTCCTCGATCACGTGAGGAGATGCGTCGGTCCCGGAGCAATCGAAGTCTCATCCCCATCCTGAGCGGCCTCTTTTCTAGGATCAAGAGGACCACACTCCAACCCAGGACAAAACCCCTCAGCAGCTCATTGTCCGGCAGGAGAGGAGCAGACACACCTCCAAGAAGATGGTTGTACCCCTGCACGGCTCTTCTCTGAGCAATGAAGCCACACCACGATACAATTCTGAAGAGGAAGCCTGGAATGGGAGACAGCAACAATCCCTGTCCCTGGAATGCTGGCCTCTCTGGACAAGTCATGCGTTTCGCACCCCTCCCCTTATGCCCGTGGCGGTGGCAAGGTTCTTTAACCTGCCTGGGCTCTGGCCTGTGCTCTGTCCTCCCTCTTGCTCTGTCTCCCCTGTTTCTGAGGGGCCTAGTTGCCTCTTGGTCTGGCTGAATAACTTCTACGAAGATCGCTTCCCAGTCCATCAGGGAGACACTTTCTGGAGATCCGCGACATGACTCTTTCTCTCTCCAAACCTGTTTCTGCTGGATTGGGCAGGTCTGATAAGCCTGGAACACTTGGCTTCCATGCGTGTCTCAGACAGGGAAGCTTCTTTGGTCTCCTTGTTTCACCTTATTGGTGGGTGGATTGCCTAGAATGAGCGCTAGGTGATCATGACTGGCCTTGTCTTCTAGGACAGGTGGTGTCCCATTTCCTTTGCACGTCCTGTCTCACAAATGAGGGATATCTTCTCCTCTGCTCATAGGTGGACTGATTCCCTGAATCTTTTGTCTGTAACGAATGTCAGGAAACCAAAGGAACTGGGCTGGGCCTGGGGATGGGGTTGGGGCCGGGTGCCGGGAAGGTTGCGTCAGGGCTACCTGGGCGGTGGAGGCTTCGGGGTGGGGTGAATGTTGCAGAAACCTCTGTGCTCCTCTGGCAGGCATTTCAAAATGTGGCTTGGACTGAGGGAAAGGCCCCGTCCAGGTTCCCAGGTCTTCTTTGAGTTCCCTTGGCACTCAGGGAAAGGCCACTTGTTCCCCCTTTTCACCGGGCACATGCCTGGACACCATTGTTGGTTTCGCCATCACCCCATATGCCTCTGGTGATGCACATTCACACCATCTGCTGTGGGATACGCCAGTGCCAGGCGTGATCGCATTGTCTCCACCTCGGCTTCGCACCGTCCCTGTTTGCACCTGTCCTGGAAAGCGGTGTCCGCTTGCAGGAGCCCCAGGGCTTTTAGAAGCGGGGCACGCCACTGCTCTTTCAACGGAGGAGGGAGGCAGAGGGCTCACGGATCAGTGAACTTTCAGCTGACACCACGCCTTGAGGGCCATGGGATCATTCTGTGCTGCAGCGACGACCTGCCTGCCTCACCAGATGTGCTGAGCCCATCCTTTCTAACCCGGAGGGGTCCAAACTAGGATCTGAAGAGGAGTCCTGAGAACCCAGCAGGCACCCTGAAGATCCCCCTCCATCTGTGGAAGTCGGCTCAAGGAGGTCTTGAAGATTGGACTTCTGAGGGTTTGGCCCTGGGACAGGATACTCAAGGACTCCTCTCCCACCCCGCCCCAAACTGGACCTCAGCCCCCATGCCACAGCCCCCACTTTCTCCCCAGAGCTGAGGGACAGACAGAGAATTGTGACTAGAAATTCGATCGAGTGGTACGAGGGGCCACGTGGCCAGGGGCTGGCCAATGACCAGGCCGCCCGGGATGAGCTAATAATGGAAGCAATTTGTAACTTTCAGTAGCTCTCTAGGCCTGGGTACCGGAGGGAGGGAGGTGGGCAGAGGAGGGGAGATGGGCACCCCCAGTCTTTCCATCCTCCTCATTCGACTAGGGGCACCCGAATCCCCTATTCCTTATTTCCCCTATCACTCAGGCACTGGCAGGGTCCTTTGCCCACTCCTGTTGGCCGCTGCGGCTCCAAAGCGAGGTAAGCTGGTCCTCTACCCCTCAAACTCTTCACAACCCTCATCCCGTTTACCAGCACCTGCAAACCACAGCCTCCCTTCCTGTCCCATTAGTGAATTTAAATCGGATTTTGTTTTTCCTCTTAGTTGAAAGAAAAAAAATCTTTTTGTGTTCTTTTGTGTAACCTATCTCGGATTTGGAGAAAATTTTAATTCAAATTAATACACTTATATGGGGGGGTGAGTGGTACTTTCCTCCTTTTCAATAAATTTCTATACTTGCTACTTTATGGAGAGTTTACTTTTCTTTGGGGATGAGTTACACCTTATGTTTTCACATGTGTTACTTCTTTAATGATAAGTTCAACTCCTTTCTCCATTCCATCCTCCAATTTTGCTATTTATAAATATCACCTAATGGATTTAGAGTTTATTAATTTTCATCCTCCGTCACTAGTTTTTCAGCTGTTACAGAATCACCACAATTTATTTTTCTCTGTATGTGGATGAGGTTTTGTGTTGATTCCTCTTTTTGTTTTGTAAATGAATTTATTGTTTGGGAAACTCTTGGGGGGGTGTAAAAAAGGTCTCTTGATTAATTCCAACCTCTCCTCTTCTGAAGAACAATTTGCTTGAAATGTTTTGAGTATTTTCCTCATTTTTATTATGTCTAAATTTGAGGTATTTTACCTTCTTTAAAACCTGGCCTCTTTTTAAAATTTAACCTTTTGCATGTTAAACCATTTTTAAGGTTTTTGTTTTATAAACTGCAATGGTTAGTAGATTTACTTGCCTTTCCCTGACCTCCTTCACGCGCCTGCCTCCTCCATCTCAAAACTCCCATCCCCAGCTTCCACAATTCTCAGCTTCCAATGGACTCATCCTCCCCTCTCCTCCCAGCCAAGGAGGGATGCCTGGGAAGTAGACAGTGTCCTTCTTGGGTCAGAACCTATGCTCTGGTTCTAGTTCAGGACACCTCCAGTCTGACCTCCAAGCCGGCAAAACAAGTGAGAGCAGAATTTCTGCTCAACTTTTTCATTTGGGACTAAGTTATTTCCACTTGGCTGTATTCTGGAGAACTCTGATACATGAAATTGAATTTTAAATTCTCATTTTTCCCTAAATTCTAAGAAAAGTGCAGGCAGATTGTTTTTCTTCCTTAAATGTAAGCTGTTAGCTTAGGGGTCAGCCCTTTTGGATCTTTTATCTCCTGAGGGAGACTTTTCAGAGAGACACAGAGTGTTGATTCTTCCCTTTAGTTTTGGGTAAGCTAGAAGGGGCAGATCAATTGGGCTTCCATATTGATCTCTGGCTCTAGCTCTGAACAAAGAAGGGTAGAGAGCTGGCCTGGGGACTTGTCCCTTTGGTCAGTAAGGTTTGGCTTAGGAGAGAGTTTGAAGTAAATCCCAGCTCTGAGGAAATTCTTCTTTTTAGCATTACTGTGAAAATAAACTCTTAAAATGGTGTGACATGGCTTCAAACTATTCAGATTCCTTGAAGTAACAAAAATAAACTTACAAGAGTAATTTGTGTTTCCCAAAGATCCGCCTCCAGTGACTGTCCATTTCTCTCAGGGAAACAGAACCCAACTGGGCAGAAGTAAAACTGCCACCCCTCCCCTTTCAGTTCCCCAGTCACATTGACATTCTGGGCACATTTGGCCCAGCCCTCATCCCTGCTTCTCCCAAGTATGAATCTAAATTACTATTAATAAGGGGCTGCTCCAAGTTAATTGGCATTAAAAGAATTCATTTCAATTTGTTAATATTAAATGAATGCTCTGCACTTTAGCTCCCTTCTTCGCCCTGGATTCCCAGATGAGTGATGGGAAGAGAGGGCAGGGAAGTAGAATGAGGATTTTATTTCTGGCTCTTCAGCTTAGCCACTGTGGTGCCTCCCCTGGGGGTGTGCGATCAGGCACAGTGGGGGTCTGCTTGGGGAAGGTCTGATGGTCTTTTTTGGTGAAATTCATCTGTTTCAGCAGGAGTTGTGGGGGAGGGTGGGTGGGGAGCAGAGGGAGAGGGACAGAATGGTTTGGGGGACTTTGTGGGGAGCAGAGGGTCTAGGGAGAAAGTGGGAAGGGAAAGGGACGGAGGTCAACAAGAGTTTTGGAGGACAAGGGTTGTAGGCTGTGGGGGGTAAAGCCGATTTGTGAAGAACTGGTGATAGGAACTAAACAACACACCTAGAAGGGGAGGGGCTTTGAGCAGGGGTGGGGAGGTGGGATTTGAGGCAAAACAGCCAGGAGTTCTGAAACTATTAATATTTAACTGTGTGACTCAGGGCAAGTTGCTTAACTTTTCTCTCTGCCTCAGTTTCTTGACCTGTAAAACAGGGATACTAATAATAGAACTTATCTCAGGGGGTTATTTGGAATTAGAGGAAATACATGCCATGTGTTTTCCACAGTGCTTGGCACATAGAACCTGCCAGTAAATGTTAGCTCTTTTTATGGCAGAGTGGTTAACAGGATGGATTCTGGAGCTAGACGGCCTGGTTTTGAATCTCAGTCATGCCTTATGTGAGTTGTATGACCTAGGCAAGTTACTTAACCCCTTGTGCTTTAGTTTCCTTGTCTGTAAAACGGGGTTAATAGTACCTAGCTCAAAGGCTGCTGTCAGGATTAAATGAGTTATATGTACGAAGAGCCTGGAACAATGCCCATCCCATAGGAGACACTATGTAAGCATTAGTTGTCACTGATATTGTTGCTCTTCTGATCTAGGAAGGTTGAAAATAGAGGCACAGGTGAGCTACTACTTACAGGCTAAGATTGGAATCAGATCAACTCTTTCACTCTTATCCCTGAAGCTAGTCCTGCAACTGGGGCTGCATATGAGGGCTTGGGGAGAGATCCTATAACCCTGGAATCTGGGATATCCAAGTCCTTCCTCTGCTCTAGCTCTTGGGTTGGGGTGGGGCTGGTAATGGGAGAATTACTTTCTTGGTCTAATAACTCCCTTTAGTAGAGAGTTAGTCCTGGGAGTGTGAGTTGGGGGAGGTTGGGTAGAGCAGAGGAGATTAAATATCCTTTATGTACCAGCCCACACACACTTGACCTCTCCAGAGGGTTGGGAAGACAGAGATTCAAAGAGGGGAAGTGATCTGACAAAGTCCTAAAGCTAGAACTTGGCAGAGTTGGCATCTGAACTCCGATCTGCTTGATGGCAAACTTAAAGCCCTTCCATTGCTGCATGCTTTTTGAAGGGAGAAATGGGACACGTGTAAACTTGGGCCAGGACCATGGGGTAGATGTAAGATGGGCAAAGATAGAGTATTGGAGTGGGAAGTGGCCAAGCAGGAATGTTTCAATCATGGAAGATTTCCTGAGGAAAGAGATTCCACATCAGGGTTCAGATGGTAGGAGAATGAGGATAGGAAGTAAAGAAGAGGGAGGGAGCCATGCATTGACAAGGAAGGAGAAGAAAAAAGAATTTATGCAAAGGCTGGGTCAGAGTAATGGACATGAATTCAATTTGCCTTGGGTTTGCCTTACCATTTATTGAAGGCATACTATGTACTGGGTACATACATGATCACATTTGATGTTCACAACAGCCCTGACAAGTGGGTTTCTTATCCCTATTTCCAAAAGAGTTCATTGAAGTTCTGAGAGCTTAATCCCCGCTTTAGGTTACACAGTAGTAGCTGGATTTCCTGGCATCAGAACCCTCACCTACGCTGCCTCTGAGCATGGCTTCTGTGTCCCAGTCTCGATTTCCATGACTGTTTCAAGTCCTCCTGTTCCCCCGCATTTGTAGTCACTCTTGGTGACTGGGAACAAAGGGCTAGAGCGTGAGCTGAAACTGAGACAGGGAGTGGCAAGCAGGCAGTGGGGACAGAAACTTTTCTCGCATCCACCCATGAGAAGAAGATGGACAGAATGGTGGTCTTTCTGGAGAGAGGCTTCCAAGCCACTTTCCCAAGAAAGACAGCTGATCTTGGGATGAATGGCAGGGACCTGATTGGGTAGGGGATGGGTGGTCACATTGTTTTCTGGGCTGTAGACTTTATTTCCCTTCCTTTGGGAAGAGAAGAGGAAGAGGACAGCTCAGGTGTGGGTTTGAGCCCTGGATTAAGACTGCCCATTATCCACTAAAATCTCTTCTTTCCTTGCAGCACGAGGGTGGAGGGACACCCAGCTGGACACTCCATTTCCCAGCTGCTCTTATTGCCAGGTGTAGACACAGGGGAATGTGAGGTGAGCATGTCCTCAAAGCCTGATGGATTGGGTAAATTCTCCTTTGTGTTCTCTCTTTCATGAGCTGGGCAGATGTGCCTGAGACAGGTTTGACCAGGCAACTGAAAAGACATCCCTAAGAGAAGACAAAGCAAAGGTATGAAAGGAACACACATCCCTGACTGACTAGGAGGAACAGAGCTGCCTGCTGTCTGGAACCGCTTCCTCCAAGACTAAGTGAGAAATAAACTTCTGTTTTCTATATGCTACTGTGTTTTGGGGCCTTTGTGTTATAGCAGTTTTGCTGTCATCCTTTCCAATTTACCTTCTCACACCAGATTTTTCAAATTAAAAAGATTATATCAGGCCAGGTGCCATGGCTCATGCCTGTAAGCCCAGCACTGTGTGGGGCTGAGGCAGGCGGATCACTTGAGGCCAGGAGTTCAAGACCAGTCTGGCCAACATGGTAAAATCCCATCTCTACTAAAAAATGCAAAAATTAGCTGGACACAGTGGCACACTCCTTTAATCCCAGCTACTTGGGAGGCTGAGACAGGAGAATTGCTTGAACCCAGGAGGCGGAGGTTACAGTGACCCGAGATCATGCCACTGTGCACAGTCTGGGCTACAAAATGAGATTCTGTCTCAAAATAAAAAACTGATTACATCAGATCACGGAATAACTATAATAATATTTATTGGGCCAGATAGTATGCCAAGGACTCTATGCATATTATTTAGTGTAATCTATGTGACAATCCTCTGAGATACGTGTTACTATTATTCCAATTTAAACACAAGGAAACAGGTTCAAGGAAGGTAAGTTATGTGCTGAGGGACACACAGGAGGGAGTGGAGCTGGATTTCAAGCCCACTGGATGTGCAGAACTGAGCCTTTTCACCATGGGGGCAAATCCCTCCTGAGGACAGGGCTGGAAAGGCCATGGAGATCATCTTGTGCTTGGACAAGCCTCTTAACAGTCACAACAGGGACCTGACTCCCATTCCTACCTTCAAGAAGCTCAGCAGGCTACTACTCGTGTTCATGTTGGGTCACTACATACGGTTTTATTTGAAGGAAGGACCCCAGAGTTAAACTCATTTGAAAACCCCTGATAAATTCAGTCCCCTCCCTCTTTTTACAGGTGAGGCCCGGAGAGAAGATATGACTTGCTTAAGGTCACACACTTAGTTTCTCTTTCAATCTTTCTAAATCTAGGACGAGTTTTCTTCCCACTGTATCAGGCTGCCTGAACAAACAGGGAAGTACAAAAATAGCCAAATCCAAGAAGGAAGGCAGTGGTCTGTGTCTCCTCCAATAATTTCATGGGACAGCCAAGCCTATTTTCTTGATTTCCCTTGTGCCCCTCCTGTCGGATATCTGCTTTGGGAACCATCTCTTTTGGGCTTGCAGAGAGAACGGGCTGCACCAGCTCTCTACCCTCTGCATCACCCAGATGGTCAAACATGCAAAGGGAAAGGAGAGCTGGGGCCAGAGTCAAGGCAGGCAAAGAGACTCCTCGACCCCCTCCAGTCTTTCCACATTTATATTTTTGGAATTTCAGGCTCCCTCCTCCCCCGGGACCTTTCCTAGTAGCCCACCAGGGAGAAGAAGAGGGAAAACTGCCATAAATTTCTCCTACTTATACAAGATGACAGAGTTTCTTGTGCCAGAAAAAACACAGAAAGGGAGCTCTCAGTGGAGAAGGGACCCAGCCCTATACCTTCTGGGGTCAATTTATCTTTCTGAATTGTGGCTTGGGGGCTACCTTAACATTGCCTGTATGAAATGCAGGCTTTGACTTGGGGCAACCAGGCCAGACAGCCCCTGAGCTTTGTTTCTGATCACAGTTTTCCTGCTTCATCTCAACTTCCCCCTACCCCTTACGCTGTCTTTTTAAAAAACAACCTTCTTGAGGTATAATTCATGTGTCATACAATTCACCATTTGAAATGTACAATTCAGTGGTTTTAGTATATTCACAGGTATGTCAAACCATCACCATAGTTAAATTTAGAACATTTTCATCACCTCAAAAAGAAATCTTGTAACCTTTAGCTATCACCTCCCTATCCCCCCATATTCCTTCTTGCCCTTAACAATACTAATGTACTTTCAGTCTCTGTAGATTTCCCTATTCTGGACTTTCATATGAATGGCATCATATAATAAGAGACCTACTGTGACTAGCTTCTTTCATTGAGCATAGTGTTTTCAAGGTTCATCCATGTTGTGGCATTTATCAGTACTTCATTCCTTTTCAAGGCTGACTAATATTCCATTGTATGGATATATCACACTTTGTTTATCCGTTCATCTGTTGGCGAACATTTGGGTTGTTTCCACCTTTTGGATATTATGATTCTCTCTTTCCTCTTATTCTCTAGACATTTTGGATAGTATCCAGTGAGGCCTGTGGGCAAGAATGGGTGTTTCTTATATTTGGGAACACCTAGTACCCATGAAAGGAGGGTCTTGGCACATGTCTGCTTTCATATTAAGTACATGTACTAGCTGGAATTTTCCTCCCTCTGTTGTTACTGAGTTGGGGCTGCTCCCTCCTTTATCAATTCTCCCTTTTTATCATGATTGCTATGTTGGAAACTCGCTGACTCTTCAGACTAGGGGATTCAGATCCTTCTCTTGGGGCTTCAGAGACATGGAGTGGATGAATGAATGTCTTCCCATCAGGGAAGAGTTCCTGAGTCTGGTATCAAGTGATTATCCAGTGCCTCACAGTGGAAGGAAGGTCTGTGAAGACTCCAGGGTTGAGGGAAAGTTATGTTCTTGGAGGTATGACTGAGCCCAGAATCCAGGCCTCCAGTTTCCATCTCCTTGCCTGGCCCATTTCAGTCTTCAGACATTCTTTGAGGTCCATTCAGTCACTCACCCAGCAACAGACACTGCCTCTGCCCTCATGGACCTTGCAGTTCTAGTGGTGAGAGTAAGATGAATACAAGTGAGCAAAATGATGGCAAGTTGTTCAAGCTTGTTCAAACTTCTAAACACTGTTCAATGAATGAATGAACTAACAAGAACTTACTATGTGCTCTGGAAAGAAAATGTGAAAAATGTCGAGTTGTAAATCACTTTCTGCTACCGCTACCTTTCCTAGTCTGGAAGTCAGCATTACTTCTCCATCCCTTGGAGGAGATAGTGGGCAGATATTACAAAATGTTAGCTAAAAAGAGCCACCATTTATTGGACCAGACATACACCAAGGGGTTTCTATAGTTCATTAATTTTCACCCTTTGAATTAGGCATCAATATTTCCATTTTGAAGATGAGAAAAACCGAAACCCAGGGTTTAAGTAGCTATCTGAAATCACACCCATACCAGTAAGTGGCAGAACATTTGCTCTGGACACTGGGATAAGTATGTGTGTATGGGTTTTTTTTGTTGTTTTTTGTTTTCTGTTTTTTTTTGATGTTGTTGTTTGTTTGTTCTTGGGATGGAGTTTTGGTCTTGTTGCCGAGGCTGGAGTGCAATGGCATGATTTCAGCTCAATGCAACCTCCACCTCCTGGGTTCAAGTGATTCTCCTGCCTCAGCCTCCTGAGTAGCTGGGATTACAGGTGCCCACCACCACGCCTGGCTAATTTTTGTATTTTTAGTAGAGACGGGGTTTCGCCATGTTGGCCAGGCTGGTCCCAAACTCTTGACCTTGTGATCCGCCCGCCCCGACCTCCCAAAGTGCTGGGATTACAGGCGTCAGCCACTGCACCCGGCCATGTATGTGTTTTTATTCCTAGCACTTCATAACAAATGCCAACATCTCTTCCTGCGGCCCTACCACAGAGGGAGCTGATCAGTTTCCCCTCCTGCCCAAAGGCACAGCAGCCACAGTGGAAGTGCCTGAGTCCTCCCTCACAGCCTTCTGTCTAGTGGTTATTCCCGCTTCAAGGCTAAGGAAGGGAAGGACCGGTTTTGCCTTCAAAGGTTTTTTCCTTCCAGCCCTTGCTGTGTAGCCCGTTGTGTGTGGGAGGAACCATGAGAGGCCTGGATATTGTCAACAAAAGACTTGAACAAGCCAAAGAGCTGATGATGTTGACAAGAAGGGGACCTTAACAAGGCAGATAATCAAAAGTTGATGACTGACAGCCCCTTTTGCATCCCTTCACCCTCTGCTAAATCAGGTCTCTTACATGATCTTGATGACAAATAATAAAAATTATAAACACATTACAGTTTTCACATGCATTTGTTCACTTCTCACAGCAAATATGAGAGGTATCTAAGGCTGAGCAGCTTATTACAGAAAAAAGCTTATGGGACTAGAACCTTAATTTTATGTAACAAAGTTTATATAGAGCTTACCATGGATCATGTACTCTCCTAAATAGTTCAAAACTTTCATTTTTAGAGAGATGGGTGTCTTGCAGCCAGGCGCAGTGGCTCACACCTGTAATCCCAGCACTTTGAGATGCCGAGGTGGACAGATCACCTGAGGTCAGGAGTTCGAGACCAGCCTGACCAACATGGTGAAACCCCATCTCTACTAAAAATGCAAAACACAAAAATTAGCTGGGTGTGGTGGTTCATCCCTGGAATCCGGAGACTGAGGCAACAGAATCACTTGAATCCAGGAGGTGGAGGTTGCAGTGAGCTGAGATCATGCCATTGCACTCCAGCCTGGGCAACAAGAGTGAAACTCCATCTCAAAATAAAAAGGGGGGGAGCGGTCTTGCTATGTTACCCAGGCTGGTCTTGAACTCCTGGGTTCAAGCAATCCTTCCACCTCAGCCTTCTGAGTAGCAGGACTATGGGCCCATGCCACCAGGCCTGGCTGTATCTCATAACTATTAACTCATCTACTTTTTCACCACCATGTGAAGTAGGCATTACTGTTATTCACATTTTTTAAGATGCAGAAACTGAGGCATGGTAATCAAGTATCTTACCCAAGGTTGTACAGCCAGCAGGTGGTAGAACAGGGATCTTGAGCCCAGCCCCAGCATCTGTAACCACTTCGCAAGGTGGGCATCGCATGGGGACTACACTTGAAACTCTAGTTTGTTAGTCTGGTGCCCCTGCTTCCGCCTGCCTCCCTCAGTCTTTATGGCCCATTGGAAAAAGCAAGCCAGAGCTGTGGCTCCCAGGGTGACGATCCTTCAGCTGCTTCCTTGGCACTGTCATTCCCTCCTCCCATCTCCCGCCAAGGGCTACAGCCGAGAATACCACAGACGGTTTGCCATGGATCAAGATTTCTCTCAAGAAAGAGCTCACAGAAAGGCTGCTGTGAGAAAGGAAGTCACTTGCTACTCCCCTTATTCCTCCATCAGGAGGAGCTAGATGAGGTCACTGCACATTTGAGTGGGTGCTATCAAAGCACAGCCTCTGGCCAGTGTGGAGACAAACGTGGGCTGTGTGGCCCGTGACTGAGTGGCTGAAAGGAAACCTGAGGTGGTAGGTGATGGAACTGATTGAAATAAAACTTCTGTAGGAATGCTGCATGCCATTCATTCAACAGTGCTCCCTGACCAGGTCCCAGGGCTGTGCATATGAGCTGCAAATGGGTTTGTTCATTCATTTACATATCTATTTGCTTATTTATTCAATAAATTCTGATTACGCCCCTAAGAGGCACTGTGCTAGATATCAAGGAAGAACAAGACAACATCCCTTCCCCACAGGGGCTCCCGGTCTAGAGAGGGGAGGAGGAAGGAAGATCCACAGTGATTTGCATCATATGCTGAGGAAAGAGAGTCATTTACTATCACCGTTTGACATCCTCACCCCAGTGCGGTCCTTCTCTTTGTCTCTCCATGCTGAGAGTGGGCAGTCCCTGCTCTGCCGTCCTTCAGACACAGCCCTCTTCCCTCAAGCTGCCCTCTGCCTGGATCCCACCTCCCTTGTGAGCTGGAGTATTTGCTTGAAGGAGTCTTGACTCTCTTTCCCTGTCATTCACTGTTTGGCTGCAGGCAGTGACAGTGGTGGCAATAAAGCAGCAGAGAGGAGGCTTTGGTATCAGAGCAGGGACTCACGGGTGGGATGGGACGGGGATGGTTTTCTGTTTGCCCCACTGTGTTCTCTGTGCTGCTCTGCCCAGGGAGGCTGACCTCTGCAGACTGTGTCACATGGGCCCCCTGATCTCTCGGCCAATAGAGTTCCCGGCTGAGAAGGGGGAGAGAGGAGTCAGGGTATTTGTTTCCTCCATTCCCTGTCAGCCCCCCTTTTTGCCTGCTTGAAGCTCTGGTGGTGGTTGTGTTTCCTCCATGGTCACAGCTTTGCTGAGTGGCCTCTCTCTTGTGTCCCGTGAGCCCAGTTGGCATTGGGCTTTGGTAGAGATATTTCTATCCTGGTGCCACACTAGCACCAGGATTAGTTTTCTTCATCTGGTCTATGCCTTTAGAAACTGTCAAATCACTAAACCCTTCAGTGAAACCCTCTCGAATGTGTCATTTATTTTCTGTTGCCACCCTGACTGGCTCACCTGGGTGCAGAGGAGGTGGGGACAGAGCAGGTTGGGGCTCCAGTTCAGCTTTATTATCCCTCTTTTTCAGGGTTTCCCAGAGGAAGAGAGAGAATTTGGACAAATGAATGAGGAACAATGCTCTCCTGAGAGTTTCTTTAAGGGGCGAGAATCACTGCCGCTAGCTCCTTTGAAAGCAGAATTAAGAGGCAGTGCAGGAAGGCACAGCAGGAAGGCTCATGGTTAGACTACAGAGAAGGAAGCAGCCACTGCTGGGGACCTACCCTGTGCTGGTCACTGACAAGCTGTCTCATTAAACCTTTCCGGACCCTCAACCCCTCCTAGTATCTTATCCTCATTTTATAGATGAGAAGACTGTGGCCCAGAGAGGTAAAGATCTGGGGAGCAGGATGGGAGCTTCACTTTGTCTCAGTTGTTCTGGCAAAGAGAAGCCTCACCTTGTGATCAAGGGATTGGGAGGGTGACAGATAAATTTTGGCTTAAGTGTCAGCATAGCACTGGGAATCTGGAGCTAGATGGCACTGGCTTGACTCCTTGGATCTGCCTCTTACTGGCTGTGTGATACTGGGCATGCCTCTGTTTCCCCATCTATAAAAATGGGGCTAATGATAATAACACCTGCCTTACAGGTTGTGTAGAAGGTTGAATTTGTAGTTGTGAGGTGCCCAGGAACAGTGCTGGCACACAGTGAGCGCCATACACAAGTGTTACAGAATGGAGCCTCCTGCTCTCTCCTTATTTTCCACCCCCTGCCCTCTTCTCATTGCCCACCTCCCCTGCCTTCTCCTCATCATCCTGAAAAAGGGTGAACAGCCACCCAGGAGCCCCTGAACAGGCATGTTGGTCCCAGGCCCTTTGTGAGCATGCTTTTCCCTGCCCTGCCCCCTGTCATCACCATTCTGGATGGAGCAGCAAGGACGGAGACACTTAGTTGGGCTATCCACTCCAGGTCCAACGCCAGTGGGATCAGCTTCGATGGGATGCACACAGACTGACCTCTTCTCCCCAGCCCCTTCAATTTCCCAGAGCTGCAGGGGGCCTGGGAGTTCTTGGTAACAGCACATTAAACCTCTGTTTGTGGGAACTTTAATTTAAACACAAATTAGAGATGGCAAATGACTCTGGCAGCCAGATAAGCCATCCCGGGAGAGCAAGGAGAAAGCCAAGAGAATCAGCCCAGATAAGGCCTGACTTTAAACTACTGGTGATACCCAGAAGCCTGGGACAGATGAAATCTAGGGGTCCTGAATGAAGAACCCCAGAAGCTCCACACCCCAGTTGTCCTTGCTCTGGGCTCTATGCCAGCTCCCTCTCCTGTGTTCTCTATATTTCTATCTTTTTGCAAAATTCTAACCTGATTCTTTGGCTCCATCCCTCCGACCCCCACCCCACTGTTTTAGAGAATGCACTTTCTTTACTTTGCTTCTCATCTTCTTCTGTGACCTACTATTCTGAGAAAGTTCTACTTGTTATCTAACCTCCATCTATGCTACTACCTTTAGAGTCTAATACATCCTGCTTAGTGGTAGCTCTGGGAGTTTCTGTTCATGTGGCAAATGTGGTGTGGTAAAAACAACCTGAAAAAGACCTGGGTGAACTTCTCTGCATCTCAGTTTCCTCATCTGTATGATGAGTGTGTGAGAAAGAATCTCTAAGGACTTGTAAACTCTGACTTCTCACAGAGAATCTGAGGACAAGGACATCCCAGGAAATCTCTATTGTTCTGGAACTCATGAATTTTCCACTGTTCTACTGTTTGGGAGTGAGCGTGGGGAGAGCAGTCAAGCCTGTTGATTCCTTTCTGCGAGGGGTCTACAGGCTTTGCTTCCACCCCTCCGCCCACAACCCAGGCTTAGGCCAGGCCCAGGCCCAGGAGAGAGGCTGCCTTTCCAGTTCTGTCAAGGCCTGCTGAGCCCAGCTCTGTGGGGCTGTGGCTGCTAAGATGTTGTCTCTGTCCTCTGGGGTAGGAGCAACATATGTTCCCTCTGTCACAGCACCTGTGAGGGTGGCAGAGGGATGGCAACCCCCAAGAGGGCAGAGTTCCATCTCTCCAACTGACCTTGAATCATCTTTTTATCCTGCTTTTCTGGGAGGCTTAAAGTGAAGGTGGAGGGAGATATCGCACAGTCCCAAAGCCCCCACTAAATGGGGAGCTATTGTCTTTCATCTTTCATGCAGGGTAAAAGAAGACACCTCGGCTACAGCAAGAGGAAAGAAGGTCAAACCACAGGCAGAACTTTCAGGTTGAATGTTAGAGCAGACTGTGATCCCAAGAGGTCATCCAAGACCCTTGGTCTCAGAGGATGACTATGAGGCCCTGGTCCCTGGCTGGGGTGGGAACAATAATCCCAACAGCCCCATGCTAGACTGACTTGGGAGTCAGAAGGTCCCTGGGACTAGAATAGAAGGACTTTGGCATTTTCCCTGGCCTAGGGCCCTTAGACAGAAGTGGGCAGCTGCCATCAGGAGCCTGGGGCCCAGCTGTGTCCACCCCTTGCCCTCCTCCCCCCTCCTGAGTGCCTGGCTGCCCCTGGAGCCCCAGGCTTGCCTGCCATCTGGGCAGCTCAGAGGAGGGCCCACTGCCAAGGGAGTGCCAGCGTTGATTTATGGCCCACAACCTTGGCAGGCTCAGGCTGTGTGCCCGAACTGCCTTTGCTCAGGGAAGAGATGCTCCTCTTAAAGGGACAGTGCAGAGGAATGCAGGAAAGTCCAGGACAAAAGCTTGGCAGGGGGCTGGCAAAAAAGACCTCCACCCATCAGCACTCTGGGTGACTGTCACTCCCTAGGGAAACTTCTCCCTAGGGAACCACCCATCAAACCTGTTATCATACCCTATCCTTTGTAGACTTGGCCCAACTGTAACATATTAATATGTTTACTGTCAGTCTCTCCCACTGGACTGTAATCTCTAGGAGGGTAGGAACCAGACCCATTGTGCTCATTCCTGAATATTCAGCACCCAGCACAGTGCCTGGGGCCTAATAAGATCTCAGTAAGAATTTGTCAAGTGTAGGAAAGAATGAATAAATGAAGGTCCTTGTCCAGGAGGTGGAGGGAAGCCCACATGTCTTCTTAGTGCCTGTCATAGTTTCCGAGACCCTGCGGCATCTGCTGCTATCCCCAGGATCTCTCCCTCCAGGACCCTTCCTCACCCCTGTCATATCAACCCAGGACCAATGGGGCCAATCTTATCTGGATACCCTTGCCTTCCCACTTTCCTTGAGTCACCTTTCTTAAGTCCTTCACACAATGTTCTTTTCCTCCCATTTTCCTTCCTCCAAGATACTTTCTCAGGTTACCTACAGCCTCAGTCCTGGATCCAGATACTCTTTCAGATAATCTTTTATTTTTTTATTTTTATTTTTATTTTTTATTTTTCTTGAGACAGAGGCTCCCTCTGTCACCCAGGTGGGAGTGCAGTGGCAGTCTTGGATCACTGCCACCTGTGTCTCCCAGGTTCAAGTGATTCTCCTGCCTCAGCCTCCAGAGTAGCTGGGATTACAGGCTTGTGCCACCATGCCCAGCTAATTTTTGTATTTTTAGTAGAGACGAGGTTTCACCACATTGGCCCGGCTGGTCTCGAACTCCTGACCTCAGATGATCTGCCCCCCTCAGCCTCCCAAAGTGGTGGGATTACAGGCATGAGCCACTGTGACTGGCCTATCCAGCAATATTTACTGAGTATCTACTATGCACTAGGCACAGGTTGCCAAGAATTCATGAATAAATGGAACAGGCATAATCCCTGAACTCAAGGGCCATACATTTCAGAGAGTGAAACAGACAAAAAAATAAGTAAGCAAGTTAGCAAATAGATACATGCAATTTTGAGACCTGTTGTGAAGTGGGTAATCAAAGACAGGGTGGAGCAGGGACCCTTTAAATTGGGTGGTCAGCTAGGCATGGTGGCTCACGCCTGTAATCCCAGCACTTTGGAAGGCTGGGGCTGGCGGATCACCTGAAGTCAGCAGTTTGACACCAGCCTCACCAACATGGAGAAACCCTGTCTCTACTAAAAATACAAAAATTAGCCAGACGTGGTGGCGCATGCCTATAATCCCAGCTACTTGGGAGGCTGAGGCAGGAGAATTGCTTGAACCCGGAAGGCGGAGATTGCCATGAGCTGAGATCGTGCCATTGCACTCCAGCCTGGGCAATAAGAGCAAAACTCCGTCTCAAAAAAATAAAATAAAATAAAATAAAATAAAATAAAATAAAATAAAATAAAATAAAATAAAATAAAATAATAAAATAAAATAAAATAAAATAAATTGGGTGGTCAGAGAAAGTTTCTGTGAGGAAGTGACACTTGGGCTGAGGTTTGAAGAATGAGAGGGAGTCATGTAAAGAGTGAGGTAAAAGCATTCTAGAAACAGTTCAGTCACCTGGGTGTGCACAGCAGCATTTGGGGGATGGGAGTGGGAGAGGAGATTTCCCAAACTGCACTCTCCTATCTCTTTTACATTTTGAAAGCCCTTGCCCTTCTAATGTGGGAGGACCACTGCTTAAAATCTTTGGAGAAGCAGCCCTGGCCTTACCTGGAAGCTGGTTAGAAAACAGAGCTCAGGTGCCACCCCAGATCTACTGAGTCCGAATCTGTATTTTAACCAGGTCCCAGGTCATTTGTGTGCACAGTGGTGTTTGAGAAGCAGTGTTTCAGGAAGTACCTCACAGGAGGAATGGAGTGTGAGGACATCAGATGATGTGAGGTGGGTGGGGTTAGGGGGTTGGTTGCTGAAGAGTGGATTTGAATCACAGATGGGGGTCTGAGTGTGTATATGTGCCTCTGTGTGTGTGTTCCTCCAGCCCTAATGACTGTGGGCTATATGAGGATGTGCATCTCCAAGTGCTTTTCCTTCCATGGGTGTGGAGTACCAGGGGATACTGTACATCTTTATCCCACTGTGACAGTGCCCCCACTTCCACGTACAGCTGTGAGTCAAACAGAATCTGCCAACCTCTGGGTGGTGGGAGCATCTCAGAAGCAAGGCAAGGCAAGGAGATCCCTTGTTCCTGACCTCCGGCAATCCATTTATTTGACCCGAGTCTCATAAAGGCGTCCTGATGAGCCCAATCGCTTGCTAATGGTTATGAGCCAAGACCTGGGGATTTATGGCTGAGGCCTCCGTGGCCACGAACAGGAGTAGGGCTGCGCACAGGAGGCCAGGCTGTGCATGGCTTCAGTTCATGGAGGCCTGTACCCAGAACCACAGCGGAGACTACCACATCCCCACCTCCAAAACTGGGGCAAAGAACATTGCCCTGGGTGGGGGAAGCTGGGCTAATGGCCTGACTTGGCTGGGTGGGGTGTAGGGGGAGATACTGGAGAAGTGAGTGGAAAGGGCACTGGAATTGGAGCCAGTCAAACTGGGGTTCAAATCCTGGATCTGTTTTCCACCCGTGTATGACACTGGAAAAATCATGGCTCTCCCTGAGCCTCATTTTTCTCATCTGTAGATGGGAATTGTGATGCTATCTCATAGGTTTGTGAGAATTAAATGAGGCCAGGTACGGTGGCTCATGCCAGTAATCTCAGCACTCTGGGAGGCCAAGGTAGGAGGATTTCTTGAGCCCAGGATTTCAAGACCAGCCTGGGCAACATGCTGAAACCCTGTCTCTACAAAAATACAAAAATTAGCCAGGTGTGGTGGCATGTGCCTGAGGCTGATGTGGGAGAATTGCTTGAGCCCAGGAGCTTGAGACTGCAGTGGGCCATGATCATGTCACTGCACTCCAGCCTGGGTGACAGAGTGAGATCCTATTGAGAGAGAGAGAATTAAATGAGATAATGTTTGTGAAAAGCACTTCGAATACCAATTGTATATATTTAAGTGGGTCAAGAGATTGGGATTCTAATTCCAGCTCCACCACTAACTTGCTGGGATTCTAGCACTGGTTTTGTTACAAATGGCTTTTTTTTTTTTTTTTTTTTTTTTCCTGAGACAGGGTCACACTCTGTTGCCCAGACTGGAGTGCAGTGGTATGATCTCAGCTTGCTGCAACCTCTGCCTCCCAGGCTCAAGCAATTCCTCTGCCTCAGCCTCCTGAGTAACTGGGATTACAGGCATGCTCCACTACTGCCTGCTAATTTTTGTATTTTTAGTAGAGACAGGGTTTCGCCATGTTGGCCAGGCTGGTCTCGAACTCCTGACCTCAAATGATCCACCCGCCTTGGCCTCCCAAGTGCTAGGATTTCAAGCGTGAGCCACCCCGCCCACCCAGTTACCAATGGCTTTGTGACCTGGGGCACATCACAGACCCTTTCTAAGTCTTAGTTGCCCCATAGACACTAAGAGGGGACACAGTGCTCTTTTGGTTGCCTCCAGCTCTGATGTTTTGTGGTTCTAACGAGGAGTCCTTATTTGGAAATGGAACTTTGGAATGGTTTGGATCTCATTCTGGCCATAGAGAGGGCATCATTGCAACTGTGGCTTCAGGGCCAATGTGCGGTTAGGGGGGCTGAGTCAGAACAGCTCCCTCTTCCTCGATAGTGCCATCCTGTGAGTATAACCCCTGTATGGGTGTTGGACACAGTGTTGGGGAAGACTGTGCAACAGGGGTAAGTAGGAAAGGCCTTGTGGTAGGGGGTTAGCTGGGTATCCATGGAAATGCCTGAACTACTCATGCCTTTTGCACAAGTAGGTCTTCAAATAATCTCTTCTTCTTCCCTCTTTCCCACTCTTTCCCTGTCTAAGGTGTGTGGTGGTGGTGGTGGTGGTGTGTGTGTGTGTGTGTGTGTGTGTGTGTGTGTGTCTAACCTGATTGGGAGAGTAAGCCAAATGGAGTGAAGTGGAGAAACATCCCCAAAAGTCCCAGGTAGAGACCTAAGGATTTCTAAATCACAGTGCAGAACAGGGTCCTCTACCCTTTTCCCATTCTGGGAACATCCTGAAGCCAGTCATTGTGGGAGAGAGACATGACCCCCAACCCAGCCTCACAGACCCTACCCCTCTTCCATGCTTTGCCCTACACTCCTTCCGTGTGCTTGTATCCTAACCTTAAGCCCTAGAGACTTCTAGCTACCCAGAGAGCAGCCTATTCAGTGATGTTTACTGAGCGCATGTTGTGTGCCTTGCACTGGGCCTGGAGCAAGGGCTAAGGAGTGAAATTAGACCTGATCCCTGTCCTGAAGATGTCACAGCTGAGTAGGCAGAAAGACTTTAAACAGATAATGGCAACACGATGTGCTAAGGAACATCAATGTACAAGATAACAGGTAGTCTGTATTTATGGGAGAGGGAGGCATAAAAGAAGATGCTTCAGCTGCTTTCTAAACATGTTTGTCGTGGAACATTGAAAACATACGAAAACAGAGCAGTATAGTGTCCTCATCATGCAACTGCAACAATGGTCACACCAGGATCTTGGTGTGTCTATACTCCCACCCACGTTCCATACCCCACTGCACCATTACTTGGGGTGGAACTGGGCTGGTTTTGAAAGAGGAACGGCAATTCCCCAAGTAGAAATTGCTGGAGGGAAAAGTTTGCAGGCAGAGGGGATGCTGTGCTCAGAAGCTTGAGCAGTGCCTGGTGCTGGTACATCAAACCAAAGCTGAAGGAGTGGGACAAGATGCTTTGGCCCCCGTGCATGCTGGCTCTAATGCATCTGTCACACAGCATGCCTTGTGGCTCCTTTTGGAACTGGGGTCTCCAGGCAAGTCTTCGGCAGAGCCAGGTTAGGGCAGAGCCAGCCTTTTGAGTGCAGGGAGTGAGGAGGCACCGCTAAGACGGCGGGCCTTGGCTGGGCGTCCACGGGGCTTTGGTGGGCCTAGAGTGCTAGGGACTGGCATGCACCAGCACTGACAGGCAAAGAGGGCGCAGTCAGGCCCTCCACCCCGGGTCGGCACGCGGTCTTAAATATTACCCGGGAGTTTTCAATTATCTCTCCTTAATGGATTTGCAGGGGCTCTTTCGTCAAGCGCAGGGTGGCTGGGTGTGGGGGTGCGGGGAGCGCGCGGCGAGGGCTGGAGCTGGGAAAATGACCCATATTTCAATATTAAAGCCCTTTACGATCGTCAGCAGCATGAAAGATGCTGCAAATTAAACGGAGCCGCCCGCGCCAGCCTCTCCATCTCGCAAGTTTTAATTAACGCTGAGGGGGAGGCGGCTGACAGGCGGGTCGGAGCCGGGCCAGCGGCGGATCTGGGAGCCTGCGGATCCCAGATTCCGAACTGGAGCGTCAGGGATCTCGCGGGCCAGGCCAGGCGGAGGCGGAGGGTGGTGGGCTCCGAGTCCTGGGCGAGGGCGCGGAAGATGCCCGTGGAGATGGGCAAGGCTGAGGGGTGGGGGACAGGTTGGAAGGTCTCTGAGCATCTGACCGGGAAACAAAACTCTGCAACTGAATGCAGGAAGCTTTGTTCTTAAAGGTGAGGGGGCTTGTGGCCAAATCATCTAGCTCTTCATCCCCAGGCTCCTTCAGCGCGCATCCTTCTGCCTCTCTTCTTTCGACCAACACTTCCCCCAAACGCTCCCCCGCGTTGATTCCCTGTCCCCTCCCACCTCATCCTGTGGCCCCTTGTTTCGGGAGGCAGTTGTGCTTCTGTGACCCCCTGGCTCCTGTTCTGGGACGTCTGCTTTCTCCATCACTCCCTGGCTTCCCGGGCGGGCCCCATCCTCCTGAGCGGAGCGGAGCAGCGTGCACAGAAGCGCCACTGTTCTGCCTTGGCAGGGCCTGGCCCGACAGCTTGTGCCTGCGCAGCAGACCCATCCGTCAGGCGGGAAGGATGGAGCGACGTCCGGCTGCCCGCTCTGAGGACTCCCCAGGGAGACACATCTGGCCTTGGCCCAGACTCCTCTCTTCCCTTCTCCCCACCCGCCAACCCTTCCCCCAAATACCAGCTCAGTATATACTTCTGTCTCTCCTCCTTTCCTTGCTTCTCCTCCTCCCTCCCATACACATGCAGCCTGGGGCCTGGGGCCCAGGAGAGCTACTCCTCTCATGGGTCACACTGAGAAGTCCTTCCTCCACCTGCATCCACATGGCAGGGCATAACTCTAAAGCTTAAAAAGATCCAGCGATCTCAGTGGACCACAATCCAAAGCTAAGTCAGCCAACCAACACTCAAGGGCTTAAATCAAGGACTTTGGGCAAAACCTATAGAGTGGAGGAATTAGAAAAATAATACAAATAAAAGACATGGTCATTATTCCTGGGTATTTACAGATACTTTGTGCTTCCTGAAATGTTTTGCAGAAATCACATTCTCCTCTCATTGTGCTACACAGCTTGTAAGCACCAAGACAAGAAATTCAATGATAAAGCAAAAAGAAAAGAAAAGAAAAAAATCCTCTTCTACTTTCTTCCTGGTGTGTATTTTTTCTTGTCAATTTCTGATAATCTATCAAGCCTACTTAAAATAGTGCCTGCTTATGCAGTATGGTTAGGATGATGAACACACTTAAACAGGATAGGGAATAAGTACAAACTACAAGTGCTGTGGGGATGCAGAGTAATAGGACAAGTGGTGAAAATTAAAACATTTTTGGCTTAATCAAGGAGTACTTCCTGGAAGAGGGGAGACCTGATTTGGAAGGAGAGGTGATATAAACTTGAAAAGAAAGTTCCAGATGTGGAAACACTGGTTTTATTCTTTGTTTTTATTTTGAGACAGAATCGTACTCTGTCACCCAGGTTGGAGTGCAGTGGCATGATCTTGGCTCACTGCAACCTCCACTTCCCGGGATCAAATGATCCTCTGCCTCAGCCTCCTGAGTAGCTGGGACTACAGGTGTGTGCCACCACACCCAGCTAATTTTTTTGCTTTTTTTGTAGAGATGGGGTTTTGCCATATTGCTCCAGCTGGTCTTGAACTCCTGGACTCAGGCAATTCCCCTGCTGCCTTGGCCTTCTAAAATGCTGGGATTATAGGCATGAACCACCACACCTGGCTAACACCGGTTCTAAAATTAGGCAGAATCTATATTTTACTTCAGGTTGAGGAGCAGATAATCTTGGCTATATTTTCCCTGACAATACAGTAAGATGAAAGAAGCCTTGTGCAATAGCAGGAAGAATTCAGGGTAGACAGTGGGATCTTGGCTAATGCTGGAGACTAAAGTGAATGGAGAGAGACCCTGAAGCACCCTTCTCCCATACTTGGCTATGGGCTATGGGAGGGATGCCTGGACTCTGAGACTTGGCCACCATGTTGTGTTTTGCCATTAGAAGATTTGGACATGAAGTTGAATAAGGCAGGAACGACCTCACAGCATCAACCACAACCCCCAATGTGGCTGGAGAAGGAGGGAGAGAGGGCAAAGAATATCTTCCTCTTACTCAGATTGTAAGTGGAGAAACTGAAGTCCATTCACTCAAATCAATAAGTGCCTACTGAGCACCTCCTATGTGGCAAGCACTATATAGGCCCTAAGGATCCAGAGATGATCAGGGCATGGTCCCTGTCAACATGGTGCTCACAGTCTAGTGGGAAATAGAGTTCACTCGTCATTCTATCATTCAATCAAAAACAAAAAGTATTGAGCACTTACTCTGAGCCAGGCAGAGTTGCAGGTGCTGGAGATGCAACTGTGAACAAGACAGACCCAATCCCTGCCCCATCAGAGAGTACTACCTGGTGCAGAAGACACATACATAAACAGGCAGCTATAATTCAGGGTGATGTATGATATGAAGGGGAAAGGACAGTTGCCATGGGGTGGCATATCCATAGATATGCCATAGATCCATAGGTTCCCATGAGGGGATCTATCCGAGTCTGTGAAAGGGGATGCGAGGATGATGTGGAAGAAGCAACACCGAATCTGATCTGCTCACAAGGTGCGCAGAAGTCAGGTGTGGGATATCATGGGGAGGGTGTCCTGGCCTAGAGTTTGTGTTCCTTTTCAGCATCTTACTAGGAGCTTGTGGCCAAATCAGGCCCAGGCAGAGCTTCTTCCCTCTAGTCACAGGATAGCACTGGCCTGCACCAACACAGCTCTTCCAACACCAGCAGGGGAAACCAGATGATAATCCTAACAGAGCCAGACCAAGGAATGAGGTTATCAGTTTTCCTTTTTCTGCTGGGAAGTTTCTGCCTTGGGGCTAGGCTATGTAGGGGGAGGCTGGGAGGTGGGAGGGCACTGTGGAGGATCTTACTCTTTCCACCCTCCTCTCACTGATCCTAGTTTTGAACAAGAAACAGGTGATCTGTTTCTCTAGTTGCAGCTGAATAGAAACCAGGACAAGAAAGTGTTGTCCTCCCCAGACACGTTTCTGTCTCCTGGATCCTAAACAGCTGCCTACTTGAGCCATATGACTTCAATCCACAGGGCCTCCCAGGAGCTGAATCCAGAAGGGCAAGAACAAAGTAGCAAAGCAGGAAAGGGCATTCAGAAGAGAACAGCATGGGCAAAGGTCCCAAGGCCAGAGGACTTGGAAACTGCAAGTCCCTCACTGTAGAGATGAGTCTGTAGAGGAGGTTGACACAAGCTTGTGAAAGACCCAGTATGCCAGGCTAAGGGGGTGGGAACAGTGAGGGACACTGAGGGTTTTATGGCTTAAATTTTGACAAGTGTATCTACATATAGACAACTAATGTAACACTCCTTTTTTTTTTTTTTTTTTTTTTTTTTTTTAGAGAGAGATGGAGTCTCACTCTGTCGCCCAGGCTAGAGTGCAGTGGTGAGATCTTGGCTCACTGCAACCTGCGCTTCCTGGGTTCAAGTGATTCTCCTGCCTTAGCCTCCTGAGTAGCTGGGACTACAGACTGATCCCACCACATCTGGCTATTTTTTTGTATTTTTGGTGGAGACAGGGTTTCACCATGTTGGCCAGGCCGGTTTCGAACTCCTGAGCTCAAGTGATCCACCTGCTTCAGCCTCCCAAAGTGCTGGGATTACAAAGAACACTTTCTTTTTTTAACTTTTTTTTTTTTTGAGACAGAGTCTTGCTTTATCATCCAGGTTGGAGTGAAGTGGCTCAGTCATAGCTCACTGCAGCCTTGACCTCCCGTACTCAAGCAATCCTTCTTCCTCAGCCTCCTGAGTTGCTGTCAATTTTTTTTTTTTAAGAGACAGGGTCTCACTATGCAGGCTAGGCTAGTCTCAAACTTCAAGAGACCAAGGTGGGAGGATGGCTGGGCTCAAGAGATCCTCCTGCCTTGGCTTCTCAAAGTGCTGGGATTGTAGGCGTGAGTCACTGCCTGTCCATATAAAGTAACCCTCTTGAACCCACTATCCAGACTTGAGGTTTTGTTAAGTTACTGTTAAAATTTTGTCAATTTTGCTCTTGAGTTTTCAAAATAAACAGGTCATTACAGATAAAGTTGAAGTTCCCTTTGTCCCTTCCCCAGTACCATTCCCCTCCCTTTCAGAGGCAGCACCATCATATATTTTTTCTATTTTTGTCATAGATATATATCCATGAATAACATTATAAGGCTTCAGTGCATTTTAAAAAGAGGTCCAATGGTTATGATATAATTTATAACTTTAGTTTTCCATCGCACATTTTTTAAAAAGTCTTTATTTGAGGTTTTCGGCAAAGTGCTGACAAGGGTAAAACTAGCGTTAGAAGATCATGCTGGTTACCAAGTGGAGTATTCCAGGTGACAGAGGAGGACCAAGGATGGTGACAGTGGGAAGGAGGAGACAGAGGTAAAAGGAGACTCCACACCACAGGTCACTGGTGATCGCCCTGTGAGGGCAGGGTTGTTTTATACATGCTGTTCTTCAGCACCATGAACAGGGCCTGGCTGTTGAAGATGCCCAGTAAATATCTGTTGACAGAGAAAGGTTGACAGGGGCAGATGGATCCAGGATGACTCCCAAATTCCTAACCCAGTGGAAAAGCCTGGATGATGATCCCAGTCTCCATTATGAGGGCCCCAGGAGGAGAAGCTGGATTGCAGGGAAAGATGAATCCAGAAGCCATCTCTCTGATCTAGAGGAAACGAGGCTGTGCTGTGTGGAAGGGATTAATGTTAGGAAGCAGACCGGACTTCCGTTCTTAGGACAGAAAAAAAATCTTGTAGCAGGTAGTTCAAGGCTATAAAAGATCTGAAGGGACACAGAGATGGTAAGAGTGGAAAGGTTCAGTCCTGCTGGGGGCAAAGGGATAGTTGAAAAACAAGCCAAAAACAATAATCACTTTCCTCAGAAGGCCAGGAGGGCAGGGCCCAGCTTCTGCGTCAGCCACAATGAGTGTCTCATAGCCCTCTGTGCGGTGGGTACCCACAGCCCATTAGCCAAGGCAGAGGAGGAGGAAGAAGGTATAGTAAGTGCATCTAGGATCATAAAGACCTTGTCAGATGCCCACACTCAACTTTGCTCCCACTCCATATTCATCAACAAGATGGAAAAGTGGGGTGCTTACAGCTGCTTCTTAGGACTTATTCTTGACCAAATTCAATTTCTCTATTCAGGGAAGGATGTGAAATATAACCTGCTTTCCAACTCTTAAGACCCAGAGCTCTGGCTCTTCACCTCAAAAAGCTACCCTCTGCAAGAGCTCCCTCAAAGTCACTGCCACCCCCACTTCCTCACCCCACCACCCCTGCCCCAGGCACAGCCACCACCCACCCTCTGCTGCTAATTCACCTATAAACGGTCTCCTGCCTTGCGTCTCCACTCAGTTTTGTTCTTTCTCTAACAGGTTCCACTCCCCTGAAAGCCCACCCGATCCTTCCTGTTACCCTAGCACTGACTTCCTAAATGAAATGCAGTGGCTCACAGTTCTGTCCTTCTGTTTTTATCACTCTTTCCACTCACAATTCTTTGGGACCTGGCTATGGTTAAGTGGCATTTCTCTACTTCATCCCTGGGTGCAGGGACAGAAATGCTTTTACCATCCCCAGTGCCCCTCTCTGGGGGTAGCAGAGAAGTCACTTTAGTTTTGTTTGGTCTGGTGGAGTAAGGCACGCCCTTCTCTCAGAGAGGGAGCTGTCATGGATGTAAGCCAGTCCCTGTCCTAGGAGTACTTGCAATTTAGACTTGCTCTTTAGTCAAGGAATGTTAAATATTGTAAAGCAATGCCGTAGCTGGAGGGGGAGAATCTTGGAATCCCCTTTCCATGAGCCTGCTATTTGAAGGTGTGGTGGGATCCCTTGGAAGTGTGGGCCCCTTGTACTCTGGATCTAATCCCTAGAGTCACCAAAGGGCCAACATAATGATTCTCAAACCAATCTGTGATTGGTCCCCTCATACCTTGAACTTGGGCAGGCTGCTAATTTTTATCAGAGCAATACACCCTGTAGATACCACCTCCCTGAACTCTAAACTGAGCAGAGCTCTAAACCATCAAAGAATCAGGCTATATAGACTACCACCTTAAATGGGTGTAGATTCAACATGATTCCCAAAGTCACGTGACTTGCCTCGCTAACCAGGGTTCTTCCTTAGTGGGGAAACTACTTGGGCCTTTTTTCCTTCTCCTTTTCACTTACCTGAATTATTACATTTATTTATAATTAACATATATTGCATGTAATATTAAAAAAAATAAAACTTAGAAAGACTTGGTGGTGGGTGCTGCTGAATTAGGTATCAGAGCCCCAGTTAGGTGGGTGTCCTGTGGAGTTTCTGATGAATCAAAAGCCATTGTTGAGCACTTTAAAAACATGGACGCCTTGAGCCCTGGGCAGCCCCAAGGCTGTGACTACCGAGGGCACCCACAGAGGATTAGAACTGGGGCACTGGAACGAGAGGACCATCAGAAGCAAGGCCTGGATGCTCAAATTCCCACCACAGTCATAAAACTTAAGAGCATCTAAGGCGCAAGCAGCTTTTAGTTTCTTTCTTAAGGATCCAACTAATCTTGTGTTCCACCTTGTAGCCTTCTATAAAGTGTGACCATTCACTTGGTTGATGATTAATGATTCAGTTAGTAATTATTAAACAGAAAGGAACCAGAAATAAGAATCATAAATTTAAACAAAACATTGCATGTTCTTAATGCTAAACTTGAAGGTAAAACACTAGGAAGGTAGAAAACACAATGTTGCTATTTGTTTTGTTCTTTTAAAGAATGAAGAAGTCAGATTTCCTGGTCCTTGTGTAGGCTCTCTTCCTGACAGGGTTTCTCAAACTTTTCTGCCAAAGTCCCTTTGTTATTAGAGGCAGGAGGGTAAACTTGGATCCCAGCAGTCTGAGGGATTGCCCTGAAGGGCCATTAGCAAGGACCAATTATTTCTTTTTTTTTTTTTTTAAAAAAAAAGACATGTTTACTTAAATAATAGGTTACTTCATCTTCATTATTTGCATTATATAAAAATAGGATTTTTTATTAATAAGAAAATAGCAGAGTCTTTTGTGGCCTTAAGTTTTAGCTCTAAAATGATGCAAACTTTGCATTTTATAACGTAGTATATTTTATACAACTTAATATAAAAATGATGTTTTAAACCATCTGCCATCAAAAAACCTCTGTGGCCCTCAGAGAGGCTTCTTATATATCCGGGGACACCCTCAGCGAGCAGCCACTGCAGTGTGGCCTGGGGCACTTGCACCCAGGTGAGAGGTGCTACGGGGTGCGGTGGTTTGTTAAACTAGCTGCCACTGTCCCAGGTTGTATCTTTAATGACTACCATTTAGTGAGCACTACTATGTGCCAGACTCTACGCCAAATGCTTTTGTATGCTTATGCCATTTAAATTCTCACAACCACCTGCCTAAGGCCACACAGCTGTAAGGTGGCAGAGTGGGGATTCAAACACCTGTCTGCTTGGTTTCAAAGCCAACTGTGACCCCCTGCTGACTCTTAGAGGCCAAGGCTGAAGCCCCTGGCTGAGTGAGTGGTGGTGACCTGGGGAAAGGACTGTTGTGGTGCATCTGGAAAGAGTGTGGGGGGTGTTCCGAAGGTAGTGCCTTATCTCAATTGATTGTTCACAGTCAGTTACAGATCAAACTCCTTGTTCTGCTCCTTCCCCCTTCTCACTACTGCACTTGACCAGTCTTTAAAAAAAAATACATACAATGCAGGTCTAATACGAGAAGGGTCAGAAAAGCTAGGCTTAGCTCTAGCTCTGCCTTTGACTAGCTATAGGTTCTTTAGGGAGGCCCTCAGCCCCGTCTATAAATGGGACTATAAAGGTCTGTGAAAAGGGCAATGGAAAAAAGATGAATGTTGAGCCACATATCAGGCTCCTTTCTTGCTCCACTGCTTATCAGCTGTGTCGTCTTAGGCACATCACTATGACTCTAAGCCTGTTTCCTCACTTCTAAAATGTGAAGAACAATACCCGCCTCACAGGGCTGCTGTGGGGATGAAAAATAATACACATGAAACACCTGGAACAGAGTTTACATATAGTAGTTGCACAATAAATGCTTCCCAATAGTAGTTATCCTTGTAATACTGGTATTAGTGATACTACTAAAGTATTATTATATAAAGTAGTATTAGCAATGCTACTAAAGTATTCATATTTTAAAATTGTGATTATTAAAGTGAGAAAAATGTATGAAAGAAATACTACAAATTTAGGTAATCCATTAAAAATAAGGAGCTGGAGGCTAGGCATGGTGGCCCACACCTGTAATCCCAGCACTTTGGGAGGCCAAGGTGGGTGGATTACCTGAGGTCAGGAGTTCGAGACCAGCCTGACCAACATGGAGCAACCCCGTCTCTACTAAAAACACAAAAAACTAGCCAGGTGTGGTGGCGGGCGCCTATAGTCCCAGCTACTCGGGAGGCTGAGGCAGGAGAATGGCATGAACCTGGGAGATGGAGCTTGCAGTGAGTGGAGATTTTGTCACTGCACTCCAGCCTGGGCGACAGAGCGAGGCTCCATCTAAAAAAAAAAAAAAAAAAAAAAAGAGGAGCTGGAGGAGGCCCACCTTAATGTACGCCAAAATAGTTCTGCTGGTTGAAGGCCTGGAGTTCCCTGCAATGGGTGGGGAAGGGGATTAGCCTGGGGAAATAATGCCTGGGTCAAGTTAGGGAAGATCCAGGTCCCTCTGCTGAGGGACAGTTTGGAGGACAGAGCCTGACCCTCCATGAAGAGAGACTCTCAAGGTCTCTTTTAGCTTTAACATTGGCTAAGTGTGATTCTATGACTCAACCAGTCTACCGTAATTCCTCAGTGTGGGCAGGACATGAAAGACAACCCACCAGTATCTCAGTGAGTTTGTGTGGCGCCCACCTTGGCAGTCACACACAGACACTTCCCAGAGTCTCAGTGATGATGATTCTCTCTAAGGGGAACCCAAGCCTTAACCAAAGACCACCTCTCCATCTTCCTGCTGGGGCCTTGCAGGTCAGCCTAGAGGGAGTTTTCCAGAGCAGGTGGCTTCCTGAGTGGCCAAGATCATGTGAGCAGGATAGGTTCTCTTCTCGCTGGGCCTTTCCTCCCTAAGCTGGTGTCCCAGGCACCTCTCTCTGTTTGGAAATCAGATTCTTTATGGTTTATTTTTGACACCAGATCATCGCTGCCCAAGTTTCATCAATTTGTCACTGTTTTTATTGTCAGCAATTGCCCATAACTGGAGCACGTTTAAAATGTCATTGATCTTGGTATTACAGTGTCGTAATCTGACAGTAATAGGTGTAGCCAGCACAGGAAGCCCAGGCCCTGAGATTGATGGCGCACAGCACACCAATTATATTCTGTCCATCTAAGTGATAAAAGAGTATGTAGGAGGCATTCAATAGATAAATTAGATATCACTCCCAATTATGTCCTTTATTTGATGGAGTCATATGCTCCCCTTAGAACTTTTTTTCTTCATTTGGCTTGTAAAGGGGAATTACTTGACCCCACTAAAGACTGGGACTGCCTCCCCTGCCTGTCCCAACTTGGGTTCTACCCTGATCCCTTCCGACAGGCTCATAGTCTTTCACCTGGGCTTTCTCTGGGACTCACCTAGGAGTTCCCCAGTGTGGTAGGTCCACAGGTGTAAAGGGAAGGAGGCAGAGGTGCTTCACCATTTGGGAAGGAGTTGGGTCAGGCCTTTGGGAAGGACTAGGAAGTCTGACAATGCCTTTAATGTGACACTGCCCAAATAAATGAGACCGGGAGAGGGGCTGGAAAATGGGTAAAAATCCTCCAGTCCAGACAACAGAGCCTTCAAATTAGGACAACTAGTAATTGGCTATGGCTGGGGAGGAAGAGGATGGTAAAAAGGTTTTCAGTCCTTAAGAAGTGAATTCATCCATCCCTCTACCTCCACTCCAGACTGGGTGGGGCCAATTCAAGCCCTTCCTCGGAAGAACTCCCAGAATCTTCTACATCCCCATTCTGATCCATATCAGATGACTTCCTCAGCTCAAGTCCTAGCTCTGCCACTGTGGTAGGGACATAATACCAGCTTTCCTGGGGGAGGCACAGGGCTCCTGTTTGAGAAAAAGCCCCAAGAATGGTTCATTTCCAAGAAGAGAGCTCACCTGAGGCAGGGAAGTGCCTGGCCAAGGAATAGAGGTACAGTGAAGGCATAACTTTATTGGAGGCCTGGCTTATAAGCATCATAAACTCTGAGGACAGCCTTGACCTGGTCCAGACCCCTGTTTCCCCATCCCCCAAAGCCAGCAGGAAACATGGCAGAGGCCGAGACACCAAGTAGTAAACAGTGATCTAGGTCCATTGATCGAGCTTTCAAAGAGAAAGTGTCCATGGGTTGGGCTGCTCTCCATTGCCCTGTTGCCATTTCAATGTTATAAATAATTCTGGCACTAAGTGCCCTGTCACACCGAGTGGAAGTAGTTCTTATAGAGTGAAACCTGAGAATATGGGTCATGGGAGGAGGGGTGACTGGGGGCAGGGGTAGAGATGGGGAGCGATCACCCCAAGGCTCCTCAACTACACCCCTAGGCTGGTGATAGATGAATTTCTGGAGCAGAGGATGGCATTTCAAATGAAATGATTATAGGAAATGAGTGTGATTTAAACAACGTCTTGGCTGATAAGCACCAGCCAGCTGGGGGGAGATGGCAGGCTAGAAGTGGAGGAATCAAAAGCCCAGAGGCCCCCAGTGTTAAGTAGCTGTCTGAAGCTCCGCTCAAACACACACACCAGCTTTGGTCTCAACATGTTTTTAAGAGCTGGTTATGATTTCCTTGAGGGCAGCTCAGATTAAGACTAGAGTGGAGCCCCCAGCTAAGCACCTTCAATAACTGTCCATCACATCCTCTTTAGAAACAGCAGCCTCTTCCCCTTGGCTCAGGGACCCTGTAATTGGGGAGGGCTGTGAAGCTGCGTGGCTTGTCAGCCTGTTCCCAGGCAGCACGGGGCCTGTCTGTCCTTTGCCTGGGGTCCTGCCCCAGATCCCGGGAACAGAGATTGAGCCCCACCCACAGAGAGCTCTCAGTCTTCAAGAAGAGAGAAAACATACAACCTAGAAAAGAAGAGAGGAAGCAAAGAGAGCAAAAGGATGGAAACCAAGGAAGAGGAAACTGTCACCAAATCCAGAATTTGGGCCTTTCTCACCACATGCACTGCTGCCATCCTGGTCCAAGCCACACATTTCTCACTTGGATTAGTGCAATGACCTTTCAACAAGTCTCCCTGCATCTTCCCTTGGCCCCCTGTGATCTATTCTCAACACAAAAGACAAAAAGACTATTTAAAAACTGAAGTCCAGGCCAGGTGCAGTGGCTCATGACTGTAATTCCAGCACTTTGGGAGGCCAAGGTGGGTGGATCACGAGGTCAGGAGTTCAAGACCAGCCTGGCCAAGATGGCGAAACCGCGTCTCTACTAAAACTACAAAAATTAGCTGGGCATGGTGGAAGGTGCCTGTAATCCCAGCTACTTGGGAGGCTGAGGCATAAGAATCACTTGAACCTGGGTGGCAGAAGTTGTAGTGGGTCAAGATTGTGCCACTGCACTCTAGCTTGGGTGACAGAGTGAGACTGTCTCTCAAAACAAAACAAGACCCTGAAGTCCAATCATGTCTTTCCTCTCTACTTCACTCCGAGTAAAAAGCAAAGTCCTTAAGTTGACTTACGAGGCCGAACATCGTCTGTTCCCTCCTTACCTCTCTGATGCCATCTCCTCCCACTCTTGCTCACTCCCACAGACTTGCCAGGCATGTTCCTGCCTCAGGGCCTTAGCACCAGCCACTCCCTCTACTTGGAATACTCTTGCCAAGATGTCTATGGGGCTAACTTCCTCTCTCACCTCTAAGTCTTTGTTCAAATACCATATTCGCAGTGAGCTCTCCTTGACAACCATATTAAAAACCTCAGATTTCCCCTCCATGCTGATCCTTCTGTACGTGATCTATTCCTTTTCTGTAACAATTATCATTTTCTAATATATGATATAATTTACTTATTTAGTAAGAATATTGTTCATTATCTGTCTTTCTCTGCTAGAATGTAAACTCCACACAGGTGGGGGTTCTTTCTCTGTTTTGATCACCAATGTATTCTAAGAACTTGGAATAGTACTCAATAATAATTGCTTAGTGAGTAAATGCAAAGGATGAGGTTCACCAGGGGAGGGTTTGGAGAAGAGAACAGAGGGGAGGCCATCCCAGGCTTGGGATGAACTTGTGCCTTATCTCACAACAGGCCATGTGTGAGGATCTGAGAGTCCGAGTGTTGGGCACAAGTTCAAGAGTCGGGCTAGGACATCACCCAAAATGGAGAGATTCAGTTATCAAAGAGACTAGGCTGGATTTACCTCTGGAATCTGGTGGAGGACTTGGCTTTAGGTTGGGATTTTACCATCTTCATGACCAAAGCATACTTGGGGATAATAATGCCAAAGGGATGTGCAGGGCAAGAATGAGGTGGTTGGGAATGGAGGCAGACTGGGAATTCAGGTGGGGGAGGGTAGCTGAAAGAACAGGCATGTGTCTTCTAAGTCTGGAAAAAAGATTGAGGTGGAATTAGAGGGCCTGAAAGAAAATTGTGTATGCAAGTGGGAGGAAGAGCCTGGGTCACTGGAAGCTATCATCTCCAAGAGCATGTTCCATCTCCACTGAGGGCAGAATCAAAAGCCATGGGCTGCACCTAAAGTCGAAGGAACTAGAGTGAGACATCAAGAAAGGCCTCCCAACAATGTGACAGGTGGTGGAGGGGAAGCACTGGGCCTTTTTCTCTGGAAAACTTGAGCAGGACATAACTGGGCGCATACCTGAGCCAGGCTAACCCAGTGGGCACTGTGAGGCTCTGGGGTGGGAGTGTGGTACTAGAGCCCCGAAGAGGGTTCCTGCCTCTGCCTGGCTCCCAACTCCATCCTCTCACCTGCGAGGCTTCTGAGCTTCTAAGCACGCAGAAATGTCCTCTCTCCTGACCTCAAGTTTCTGCATCTTTTCAGAGTGGAAACTGAGAGTATTCAGTATTCCAAGGCCCCACCAGTCTAGGGTCCAAAACATGTGTACCACGTCTCCTCAGAATATCAGTGCTCATCTCAGTTTTGTGGTGTCCTCAGGGTACAAGCCAGGAGAAGCAGAAAATACCTTTGGAGGTTATACAATTCAGTGGTTACTGCAGTTATAATGGAGTGAGGACATGGGTGGCCTGGGAGTTCTGAGGTTCCGGGGAGACTTACTTGTCACTGTATAACTTTTGGTGCCTTTTGAGTTTTGAACCATGTACATTTATTTCCTATTCAAAAAACATAAAACAATTAAAATCAGATGAAAGCAACAACAATAGTAACAACAAAGAATAGGTCTAGGGAAGTGGGAACTTGATGCCTCCAATTGCTACCCTGAAGGCAATGACCTGCCTCCTCTTGCCCATGTGTACCCTCCTCCACATCTGGCATCTCCATTCTCTAGAGGCTCAGAGAGGGGTGTGGCTGGCCTGATGTCACCCAGCATTTAAGACTAGCAAAATTCTGGGGCTTAGCTGTCCAGACTCTCAGTGTTGTCTTTCTTTTCTGATCCTCAATGACCCCGTCTACTCATTGACCTGTCCATGTTTTTGGCAGAACTTTGCATATGCTACAAATCAACCTTCAATGGGTCGTTTTTAAAACTGTGTGGTCTTAAATGCCACCTTTCCCAGGAAGTAATCTCTTTTCACAAAGAGAAAGAGATGACAGCTCTCCTCTCCCCCAGTGTGGTGTCTGATGTTTCATTCCCTCCCTTCCTGCCTCCCTCCTCCCTACCACCCTCTACCACTAAAGTGGCTCTCCACTGAAACTTGGCCCTGTCTCTGATGAGATATGTGACTTTGAGCAAGTCATTTAACCTTTCTGTGTGTCTGTTTCTTCATCTGCAATTGAGGATCCTGACCTTCCTCCCATGGCTCTTCACTTATGCATTTGTACAGCAAGCATGTATTCTGTGCCTGGTGCTGAACCTGGCACTGAGGATCACACAAGACAATGTATGTGAAGTTAATACAGAGACAGAAAGTTACTGCCAAGGCCTCCTTCCTTGGATGCTGTTCTGGGCTGGGTGCTCCAACCCCCTCATCTGGCATGCCCTTGGAGGAACTGCTTCACAGTCTACTCCAAACCTCTCAACTTCTAGCATTGCTCCTGGGCTGAAGCCGATATCCTGCTCTGCATGAAGGGTCAGGGGGTGCAGAAATAGCCTATTTCCCAGGCTTTTTCATTTGGTTAGATCCTTAGGTATCACTTTGCCTACAAGAAGGAATAATGTTGAAATCTGTCTGTTGGTCTTTAGTCTGGAATTTTCAGTGTCCACCTCTCTTGCCCTCTGTGGGCCTTTCCCTGGGACTTGGGCTGGAACAAGGGGTAGGAAATGGATTCTATCCATGTCCTCACTCTGCTCATTTCTCTCCTTTCCTGAATCCCATGCATCCATGGAGATTGGTACAGTGGCTAAGATTCTGGGATTGGAAACTCACATTTGTCTCCCTCCAAATGTAAGCTGGCTGTGGAGGAAAGATGGTCCCTTCTTTAAAATGAACACCACCATCTCAGAGTATACAGTAGCTTGCTTCAGGCAGAGGAGGCAGAGCTGCCTTCCAGAGCTCTTGGCAGGAAGCTGTCCCCACTCCCTGCCTGACCACCGAGGATTGGGTGAGCATCACTGGGAGGGAGCGGTGTTTATAGAAAAAACGTGCTGCTTCAGCCCTGGTCATTGCTGATGGACCATGGCAGCAAGGAAGGTCAAGTCCAGACTAAGGAGGTACTTCTCATTATCAGGGACTGGGTTTAAGGTGAGAGGTTGGTTGGAACTACTCAGACACGGTCTTCCCAGAGCAAGGAGGAAGGGTGAGATGATCTGGGAGTTGTGAAGGACTCAGGGGTTCCATGATGTTGCAGAGCTGGCAGTGACTGGGAGGATGCCAGGGAGATGTCAGTTCACCCATGTCTAGAGCAGAAACCCCATGGTCAGAGACCAGGTATCTGCAACCCCAACATTCCCAGCATAATGCCTCGCACAAGGCTAACTGGAGACTGAGGAAGACAAGTCCTTCCCTGGAAGATGGTGCCAACACTGTGCTCACAGAAGGACAGCTACTTTAAAGCCCCAGCAAGAAAATGATCTCACACTGTGGGACCTGGAAGTACTTCTTCATGTCCAGCCTCAATCCTCCTTACCACAGCTCAATTGGATCTCAGTCCAACCTGTGGGATTTGTCCATGCCCAGAGGTGAAACCCAGCAAGGAATATGGACTTTGCTTTTAGGCCTACGCTGTTGGCTGTGGGAGATAGAACAAGTTGGCCAAACTGTCGAGTACCTGTCTCCACACCTGGGGAGTCCCCAGGAAAGTGGAGAGGGAAGATCTTCCAGGGAACGGCCACCCTCCATGAGGAGATAAGCAGAACAGCAGAGGGCAAGGAAGGTTCAGTGGCCAGGAGAGGTGGGGCTCAGGGAGTCCCTCCTGGCTGGGGGTGAGGGAGCTTCCTGGATGCTCAGCCTCTCCAAGCCCCTGAGGAAAGACTGTAGCTTCTGGAGGGCAGGAGCTGATCCTGCATCATCTCGGCAGACCAGTGCCCAGCACACAGCAGATGCTCAAAACACATGGGTCGAATGAATGAGCCTGCGGTCAAGAGCCTGCCCAGCCAGCAGGTGGAGTGGGTCTTTGGAGAAGGGATTCCCCTCTCTGGGCCTCCATTTCTTCATTTGTAGAATGAGGGGCTGCAGTAGATTGTCTCTAAGGTTTTGTCAGCCCCTGACGATCTGTGGTTTCCTGTTTCCCTGCTCTCTCGTCAATTCCTTGCCAATTCTCTTTCCCTCTACAGCTTCTCTTTTCCTTTCCCTTTAAGTCTTTTTCTTCCACTAACCCCCAATCTCTGCACCCCCGTTTTCAGTCTCTCCCCTCCCCAGACAATTTCTCTGGCTTTCCCCTTTACAGGTATTTCTTCCTCTCTGCTTCTGATAACTGCCCCCATCACTATCCTTCCCTGATGCCTTCAGTGTTCTGCACCCCCTGCCCCCCAAAAGCCGCCCATTCTAGTGCCCCTTTCATCCACCTTAGATCCCAGAGGCGGGAGATTGGAAGAAAAGGAGGAGGGTCCTAAAGCAGCCACTCCCCTGCCCCTGCAATGGCCCCACCGCGATGTCCCCGTCCCCCCGCCCCGCCCCCCTCCCCACCACGCCTCTCCCTCAGCAGCCAGTGCCGCACTGAGCCCTCGCCCCACGCTAATGCGATCTGGAGAGACCCTGTCGGTGCGGGCGGCGGGCAGTCTGGCCCAGCGTCCAGGGCGGCGCTGATGGATGGTCCCCTGACAGTAATCGCAGAATGAGGACGCGCAGGTGACGCTCTTGCCCGAGGCCCTGCTGTTTGGCTAGCCCAGGAGTCTCTCCCTCCGCAGCGTCTGCCTTCTGGGCGCTCTCAACTCACTCGGCTTTGCGGGAGGCGCAAAGCCTCAGGTTAGGGCAGAGGTGCGGGCTTCCTCTGCTCTCACTCTCCCAAGACACTGGTTTCTGTTTGGGAACAGATCCCTTCTTGGATCCACGCTGCTTCTGTGATTCTGAACAAGCCACCCATCTCCTGGAGTCTCAGTTCTCCCTTCTGTATAATGGCCTTTAAAGCCTGGTGGAGTGTTGGGGGCACGGGAGATAATACTGAGGAAAATCACGCTCTCTCTTAAGTAGAAACCGAATTTCACTTTTAGTTTACAATGCTCAGAATAATCTGGGCCAAATGTGCAAAGCCAAGTAAGAGCTGAGTGGCTACTCACACACAGAATATATGTTTATACACATACACATAATGTTTTTAGCATACCAGGACTGCTTAGACGTCTTTAAAGAGAACACTAGCCCAGGTCCTTCTCCAGGGAGGCGACTGTCTCCAGCAGGACTTTTTCTCCCCTCTACTGAGGCCACCTACCTGTCTTAAGCCCCCAGACCCCATCCGTTCTGGGGTTCCCCTGCAATCCAGAGCCAGGCTGAGGTGGTATGCGGGAAGATCTCCCTTTGGAAAATGTTTCTGGATAATTTCCCAACTCCTTGACCATGTTCTCCCCACCTCACCCACATTCAGATAACACAGGTTCTAAGGCTCCTTCACTCCTCCACCCCTGGGGGATACTCCTTGGGCCTGGCCCTGTGGAGGGGCTGGGAGGTGGGATCCAGAACCAATTGCAATTCTGAACGCACACCCAGCCGCCTCCTCACTCCCTTTTAACCTTTCCCTCTAGTCAGAAGCCAAATTGAGATAGTCTTGAGTTTTGATTTAATTCCTGAAATGGAGTCATAATCTGCTTAGTGTCCTTTCTCCCGAGTCCTAGATACTGAAGTGTGTGTGTCTGTCAGGGGGAGTTAAAAGAGCAGCTCTGTGACCTTTGGAGGACCCTCACACTCACTCACCTCCCAAACACCACCAAAGAGCAGGAGACGCCATGGCACTGAGTTGCTGGGTAGTATGATGATGGTACTGACAACTCACATTTACTAGGCACTTACCACATGCCAGTACTGAGACAGGCACTATACACGCATTTCTCACTTAATTCTCACAACTACCTTTCAGGTAGGTACCATTCATATCCCCAACTTACAGATGAAGAAACTGAGGCTTAGCGAGGTTAAGCAGTTTATGTTCCATCCTGCAGTGATCACAGACGGTCCTCGACTTATGATGCTTTGACTTACAATTTCTCAGCTTTATGATGATGCCGAAGTGATATGCATTCATTAGATACTGTACTTCTAATACTCATACAACCGCTCTGTTTTTCACTTTCAGTACAGTATATTATAACATGTTGAATCTCATGTTGAATACATGAGATGAATAAATATCTCATGTTGAATACATGAGATATTCAACACTTTTTTATAAAATAGGCTTTGTGCTAGATGATCTTGCCCAACTGTAGGCTGATGAACGTGTCCTGAGCACTTTAAGGTAAGCGAGGCTGAACTATGATGTTTGGTGGGTTAGGTGTATGAAATGCATATCCACCTTACAATATTTTCAGCTTGCTACAGCTTTATCGGGACACAGCCTCATCGTAAGTCAAGGAGAGTCTATTATTAAGCGGCAGAGCCCAAATTTGAAACTACACAGTCAGACTGCAGAGCCTGTGCTCTTAACCACTTAGTTGTGTGACACCTGGCAGGGTATTTAACTTCTGCACGCCCTGTTCCCTCATTTGCAAAACACAGATAAGTAGGGATGATAAGACATTCCCTTCAAAGAATTATGTTGATTAATTGAGCTAAGGCATTCACCATACTCACAGTAAGCATTCAGTAGTTTAGGTGCCCTACACATTGGAGCAGGGTTGAGGAAGGGAAAGAGTACAATCCAATGGGCTATTAATTGTTCATTGTTACTGTTGATAGTAATAGTTATCATGCATTGAGAGCCAACTGAGCATAGGCCACCCTACAAGGTTAAAATTATGTCTGTTTTACAGATGAAGAAACTGAGTTTCACATAAATTATGTAAATTACCTAAAGCTATCCAGTTAATAAGTGACAGAACAGAGCTCTTGTTTAAACACTGGGCCCTTGACTCCAAAGCCTGCAGTTCCCAGCACCCCCAGGGTCACCAAAACCTGGCCTCTCCTGGGAGAGGTCAGGGCTGAGGCCAACAAGCCCAAGTCACACCCTTTACCACCTGGGACCTGATTTTCTCCAGGTGAGCAATGTTTTCTTAAAAGAACAGGAGGACAGTAAATAATTAACCAAGACAGTTTCTCCCTCCCTGAAGCCAAGGTAGAACCTCCCCACTACAGCCAACCCCCACTCTCCTCACTCCTGTTTCCTCTGTGCTCAAGTTTGTGGCCATTAAATAGAAGAGGAGAAAGTTTGAGCCAGGCATGAAATATTTATCAGTTAATTACAATATGCAGATTCTGTTCCTAGGGGTGATTTATCTTTTTGGAAATATAGGAAAAGATCCTGGAAACTTGTATCCTAATCGCTCGGCCCATTATTGTAGCAACCAGGTAGAAACTCCATTTACTATGTAACTACAAATTTTCCCACTACTGGAGGTATCTGCCTCTGCTTCTATCACTGGTGGTCTGGGGAAAATATGCTTTTCTGATAAGAGATGAGCCTCTTAGAGGTCAATTTGTCAATTCCTCTGTCTCCTCTTTGGGTGGCCTCTTTGTAAATTCTAATAGCTACAGGAAATGAAAAGGGTGAGAGTCTCTGAAATTCTGGGATCTCAAGAGAAGCTAATTCTAAGTGAAAACCTCCCCGACTGAAGCAGTGCCACTGGTGAGGGGATGTCCAAGGTTGAGAAGCAGCTCTCAGCTGAGCATCCCTCCCCTCCCTTGCTCTGGCAGAAGTGTCAGCCCTCCCCCTTATCTCTTGTATTATTTCCTAGGGCCTGCATCTCAATCTCTGGCTACACATTAGCAACCTGGGGAGTTTTAAAAATCCAGATGCCCAGGCCCTACTACAGGCCAAACAAATTGGAATCCCTGGAGGTGGGACCCAGGCATCAGTATTTTAAAAAAAACTTGTGGCTGGGTATGGTGGCTCACACCTGTAATCCCAGCACGTTGGGAGGCCGAGGCGGGTGGATTACCTGAGGTGAGGAGTTTGAGACCAGCCTGGCAAACATGGTGAAACCCCGTCTCTATTAAAAATACAAAAATTAGCTGGGCATGGTTGCAAACACCTGTAATCCCAGCTACTCGGGAGGCTGAGGAAGGGATAATTGCTTGAACCCAGGAGGCAGTGGTTGTAGTGAGCCGAGATGTGCCACTGCACTCTAGCCTGGGCGACAAGAGCAAGACACCATCTCAAAAACAAAAATGAACAAACAAAAAAACTCGCTGGGGGTTCCAATGTGCAGTGAAAGTTGAGACCCTCTAGAGCTAATAGAAGAGTATCACTGCCTGGTAAATGGGCCCTGCTTATCTGCAAGACTGTGTAATTTTTATCCCTCCCTCTCTGGTGCTGGAGGAGGCAATTCCTTCACTTTTTAGAATCTGAAGAACATCTCTCTTTCTTCACAAGAAGCTTGTAACACAATAACTACCACTTATCAAGCCCCTGCTGAATGCTTGGATCTATGCACATAAAATTCAATCTGATCTACAGAACAACTCTATAAGGTCAGTGGGTATGTCTATTTTATGGATGGCTCAGAGAGGTTAAGTAATTTGCCCAAGTTTGTACAACTAGCGAGTGTCAGATCAGGGACTTGAATCACAAACCCATGCTTTTAACCCCTGTGGTACACTGCCTCTCACTTTCTCAGGGCCAGAAGGGAAGGGCTTCAGGTCAACCATATGAAGTGCCTACGGAATGTCTTGGGGAAGGAAAGAAGAGAGAAGCAAGGAGAAGTATAGGGAAGCAGACAAGGGCTACAGATGCATAGGGCATGGAGGGCAGAATGGTGGCTGGGAAAGACTGAAGAGGGTTTGTAGGGCTAAGAGGAGGTACCTGAAGGAGGGTGTGGTAAGCCAACACGTGCATGGGAAGGGGGCAGTGGCTATGGAGATAGCTGGGGAGTGGGGGAATGGGGTCCAGGAGTGGGTGCCGGCAGTTGGAACATCCAGAACAGTGAGCAGTGCCCATCGTGGACTGGGTGGTTGGGGAGTGGGAGGGACCTCGTGTCAGAGGAGGGGTCTTTGTGAGCATGAAGTAGTGAGGAATGCTCCACCATGAATACTAAGGGCAAGAAGAGAAAGGGCCAGAGGGGAATGGGTGATGTTTAGCTGCTGGGGTGATTAATGGGGGTGAACGGAGGGTGAAACTCAAGCCCTTCCAATGAAGATGGTGGGGAATGGTTGTCCAAGAACAACAGTGCACTGTTTCAAGGAGAAAGCCAATGTCCAGGGGAGGGGTGGCTGAGAAGGACGCTAGGCACAGTTGCTCCTTCCCTTTTTTCCCAAGTTCTCTTTATTTACCACCAAACAGTAAATTAAACTATATTAGCCAGTTCCAGGGGACCCTCTGAATGGGCTTCCTACCTGTCTCGTGGCTTGGAAGAGACCAAGGAATGTTGGCGTGGCTTGGAGAAAGAGTGAGTGAGGTCTGGGCTGAAAGTTGAGATGACTCCATGGACCACCCCCTCGTGGGGCACAAAATGGTGATGTGCTGGCAAGAGCCACTGGCTCCCTCTGGACCAGACAGGCACTGAGAGATACATGGGTGTTGGGCCCTCAGGTGTCCTGTAGAAAGTGGTAGTGTTCTTAGAGCAGTTTTTAGAGCAGCCCCTTGGCCTCAGGGAGGGACACAGGGCTCCTTTTCTGTGAGAGAGAGAGAGTTGGGGGAACAAGGAGAGAGGGCTTCCCATGGCTCTGGTTTCAGGGTGTTGACCTGGGTTTGAAGAATGGAGATAAACCTTGTGGGAAATAACAGGTTTAAGCCACTCTCCCCTCATTTCCTACTTCTGTCTCTTCCTCTAGGTACAGCTGTTGGGAGCTGCTTCTCCCGCCCTCAATCTCCCTGTCTGTGGTTCCAGAGGGAAGAAGAGGGGGAAAAAAAGGATGAAGAGAACTGTTTCAGTGCTGGGGGAGGTGAGCTTATAGCAGGGATTTAGATGGGAAATACCTCATGGGATAGGAGCAGTTTTCTCCCTCTCCAGGCCTCTCACAGATGTGAAACAACTGGCAGATCTGACTTTCCCACCCCTAACCATTGGAGGGGATGATGTGTCTTGAAACCTGTGCTTCTCGATTGAGAGGCTGGTGGGGGAAGAGAGGTCAGGAAAAGGGGCCAGATGTGTGTTCAGGGGTCCCCAGGGAGTTGAGGGAGACTAGCATCTCCTTAGGGTAAGGAAGGCAAAATGCCCATTCCTGATCCCAGATTGCTTGGATACTGTGCCTGGGAGTCCTCCTACCTCGCCTTAATTCCTGTCTCCACACACAGCTTGGCCAAGTTTCTTCCCCTGTTGGAGTCTCACTCCCAATCCCCTACTCTATCTCTCCAGGAGCCTACAAAGCACTTTGAAATCCAAAGTTTGTGGGAGGTGGCTCTATCGCACAAATACTCTGAGGTGCAACATGACTTGACTGGTAATGAGGCAACCATCCCACCTAGGGCAGAGTTCAAGGACTGCCTTCAAGAGGGGCTGGCCTCAGTTTGCCTGTTACAGAAACCACGGGCTAATAGAGGCTGCCCTCTGCCTCACAAAGAAGGAGATAAATGGGTCCACTGGAGAGCAATGGTCACAATCAAGTCTTAATGATGAATTAATAATTCATAATTACCCCAGACTTGCAGATAAGCACAAGCCCACTGGAATTATTTCCCAGGGAGGAACACAGTCAGAAAGTGTGAGAAGGGGACTTCAGTACAGACATTACTTCCAGAGGCCATTAAGTTCATCCCTCTGCTTCCAAACCAGAACCTGGAAGACATGCATTAGCTTCCTTGGCTGATTCCTCCTAACAGCTACCACCCCCTGAGCTTCTAAACAGTGCCATATTGCCCCTCTGTTCTTCATAAGGCCAGAGGACCATTCCTGCCAAAGTGACCTCAGAACCTGGACTCTGGATTTCTGGGGTCTCTCTGTTCTCTGCTCCCCATTCTGCTATTTACATATGAGGTCCCCTGTAGGAGGGCCTGGTGCTAGGTGTCCCGGCGAGATGTGGACATCTTTCTGGCTCTTCTCCTTCTCTTATCTAAGTCCTCACATGGTGGGAAAATACCTCTCTAATGCTATGTAGAAAGAGAAGGAGGGAGTGTCCCTTCTAGCGTGGATGCCTTTGGTTCCCAGATCTGGATTTGAGGGGCTGGCTCTATCTCTTAAGAAGACATTTACCTAGCGTTGGTAATGGAGATGGGGCCTTAATAGGGCTAGGGAGGCACACCCAACTCCAGACCCAGCTCTCTGCTGTTCCCCTTCCCAGTGCACACAATCCCAATTCCCACTCCAGAAAATTTTAAAAAAACATATCTTAAAAAAAAACCTCGAAAAGCCAAGCAGACCCTCAGTTTCAAGGTATCTCCTCATTCTCTCTCTCTCTCTCTCTGTCTCTCTGAATCTACAAAGAAGGAGTGAGTTTTGTCTCTCCAAGTACTCAGAGCCTTAGATCACAAAGGGGCCTTAGATCCTGGTCTTGGGGAGATCTTTGACCACCACCTCTGCTGTGGCACGACCATTGTCAAAATGCTAGAAAGAAGAGAGACTGGCTCTTAGACCAAGGGAATTTGGGATTTGAAAGGACTTCCATTTCCAGTTCTATAGATTTCCTTCCCATTAGCCTCTTCATGTGCATCAAATGTAAATGGCAGGCTAAACTTACAGGATGAAGAGAGTTGAAAGACTGCTGCCTAAAAATGCCCTTTTCCAAATCTGTGGGTGCAGAAGCACATTGAAAAGCAGGTACCCAGCCTGGCGGTGTGGCACATGCCTGAAGTCTCACATGCTTAAGAGGCTAAGGTGGGAGGACTACTTGAGCCCAGGAGTTTGAGGCTTCAGTGAACTATGATGGTGCCACAACACTCCAGCCTGGGAAACAGAGCTGGACCCCATTTCCAAAAAAAAAAAAAAAAGTAGTTACCCAGGTAAGGTGGATGATCAAGTACACCCAGTGAGAAGCACACAAACCTTACCCTTTACCCAAACTCTCTCCCTTACCTGTCCCATTTCCGGTCTCTAGAGGAGGATCAGTTAGGGGGTGTGACCCAAGTTACCCAGATAATTAACTGTGGAAGCACGATTTTTTTTCACTCCTTTGGCCTCTAAATATGAGAGATCTTTACATCTCTTGCCTAGCTCCCTCTTATTCTCTACCCTCTCCCCAACACGCACGCAAATCCTAACAACAAAAAATCCTAAATATAGGAAGACAAACCTTCCTGACCTACCATTTTGGCCCACCTGCAACCCCTGTCCCCCGCCCCTCCCCAATTTTTTTCTCTCCTGAGCCTCTGCTCTTCGCTTCTAAAATAAAAAAAAAGAAGAAGAAGGAATTTTCAATAGTCCAACTTGTCAAGCGAAGACCATCTTTTAACCTTCAACAGCAGCGAAAGCCATGTGAACTCTTGGTGAACCAAGATTGAAGTCATAAATCACGTGTACAAAGGCGGCTGCGGAGGCTGGCGCGGGCTGCTTCACCTTTAATGCTTTCTGGGGCTGACAGGCAGCGGCCCAGCTAAAGTTCACAGTGCCCGGGGAGGGCCCGCCTCCGCCTCACCTCCCCCAGCCTGGCCTGGGCCCATGGCCCCGGACCGGTCAGCCGCGCGGCCGCCTGAGCTGCGAGCTGAGGAGGCCCCTTGGCTGTTCCCGCAAAGGGCCGGGGGGCGCATTTTCTCTCCTGCCAGCGAGCTCCATCCTGGTCCTTCCCTCACCCCCCACCCCCACAGCCTGCTGTATGTAAATAGGGAAATAGATCTACACGGACACAATAATTTAGCTTGGTTGGTCTTTGGCATTTTCTACAAGACCCCAAGAGATGGACTTTCCTCTCCCCTTCCTCCGTTTAGAAATGGCATCCTTCATCTCTGTCTATGCAGGCCCAATTATCCAGATCCTCAGGGCTCCAATAGGGTCTGAGTCATTGGAACCAGGAACACCTGGCTGAAACATGCCACATAATTAGATTTTCTTTTTCTTTACCTTTTCTTTCTTATTTTTATAAGAGGTCCGGAATTAGCCTCTTCGACTGGGGTGGAGTAGCTGGGGTGTGGGAAAGGAACACCTTCATACAACTTCCAGCTTTCAGCCCCTTGGAGAGATTTCCAATTTCCCCGAAGCCGCTAGGATTTCCTTTCCTCGATCTCTTGGCCACCTCCTCCTCCTTCTCCGATCTTTTTTTTTTCCCTCCTCCCACTGTCTTCTCTACGGTTTAATCAAAGTTCAGCGACTCCACTTGCCTCTCCTCTCATTTCTTTCGGAAAGCGGAAACCAGACGACCCAGCGGCCATGGGACGAGTCGCCCCAACTCAACCCCAACAGGACGCTGGAGGGGCCTCCCTTGCCCACCTCTCTTCGCTGGCACTGGCCTCCCGCACCCGGGTCTGCAGTCCCTCCGCCATCTCACAGGTGTGCAGCCGCTAGGCCTGGGGGATCCGAATGACTGGGGCTGGATAGGAATGCCTTCGTGTTTCCCAAGACCCCGGGGCCTGCTCCACAAAGTTTGAAGGGTGGGTACACCTCAACCCAGGCAAGTTGCTCCCCCAAACCCATGACTGACTAATCTGATATGACAAAAGCCCATGATGGATTTGGTATATGTTAATTCACAATGCCTTTTCCTCCAGAATTTAACTATAAGTTAATACACACCGGAAACCACGCGCATACACGCTCCTTAATGGGCTTAGGTATTAGCGAGTCCTAACGATGCATACAAATGTGCTCTGCGCTCTGTAGACCCCTCAAGATTTATGGGCCTTGAGCTCTCTGAAGCTGTAAACAAGGAGAAAAAAAAAAGAGAAAGTGAAAGCGACTGGGGGGAAGAGACAGAGGCCTGACTCGCCCCTCTAGGTTTTGGAGAGAAGGGATTCTTTATGTATTTTCCTTTCCTTGCAAGCTCGGTGCGTGTGCGTTTTGGCGTTGGTCTGGGGGTGGTGTTCTGCCTGAATGCTGGTGTGCGTGGGCAGTGTGTTATTTGCGTGCTGGGGTAGGATGCCTGCCTCTTCGGATTCCTGTGCAGGGGCCTGAACACAGCAGGCATTTGTGAGCATATATGCGTGAGTGTGCACTGTGTTAGGGTGTGTGGGTGTGTATGTGTGTGTGTGTGAGAGACAGACAGAGAGGGAGAGGCAGGCTTCCCCCTGGGCCAGGCTGCTGTCCCTTGAACGGTGGTGAACAAATCTCTAACGACAATCATAATAACAATAAATAATGAATAATAATAATAAAACAGTAGTTAACAGTCCCTCCATAACAGAATAACAATAAAATGCAAGAGGAAATATTTTGAGGTGGAGACAGAAGGAGTCAGGATCACAGCATCTGAGGGGGAGATAGGAAAGGAAGGGAGGAAGAAAGCTTCTTAATATGCTCTTGGCGGGGCTGGGGTTGGTAAACCCTTTCCCAGACAAGGGACGGAAGAGGGGAAGGAGAGCCAGGAGGCCACTCTTTATTGCTTTTTTTTCTCAGGCTTTTGCTTTGTGTGATCAGGGAAGGGATCCCACATATGGGAATGGTTAATGGATTTTGGGACTCTCTAGGAGCCCCTGTTTTAAGAAGGAGGCCAAATGTGCAGGCTCAGGCCAAGCGCCAGAGATGAATGGGGTGATGACCACAGCCTTGATCCGGCAGGAGCTCAGAGATGCCCGGGAAGATGGGGTGCCCGAACAGAAGCAGAAAAACACTTGTGGCCGCTGGGAAGTTGGGAGAGCCAGGCTGGGGCTCCGGCAGGCCCAGGGAAAGTTCCCTTTCTAGGCTCTTTATTAAAAAATTTAAAAGGAGGAGTTGAGGCGCCTTGAATTTTCCTTCGTGAGTTTGGAGACCAGCCGATTTTTCATGAAGCTAGCAAAGACTGCGGTCCTGGATCCTGCAACATATACCTCATTTTCTCCAGGTACAGTTTTCTGGTCATTTAATTAGTTTGTTTTCTTGAGGGAGATGGGAATCAAAGGCGTAGAAATAGTAAGTTTGCTAGAGAGGAAGCCACCCCACAGTTTCGAGTCTAACGAAATCCCTCCTTTAAAAACATTTGTACCCCCAATAAAAACAAAATTAAATAGGAATATAGAAACACAAATTAGCCAACTTTTTTAAAAGAGAAAAAAGAAAAGGAAATCATCGTAACAAATGAGCGTGAGAACTTCTAAAAAATTTGTCACGAACCCTTTCAGAGGTCTGGATTCTTTTTCAGTAGCCGGTGACCCATTTGGTCTGAAAAGAGAAATACACTATCCACTGAGTCACTTATTTAAAGCCAACACACACACATACACACACACACACACACAAACACACGCATTCAGAAAGCCCTGGGTGCACTCGTATTTGAAAACAACAGCGGGTGGAGGACGCTGTGATACCTAATTGGACAAAACAGCAATAAAATAAGACCAGTGGAAGTGCTGAGCACAGGGCGCAGGGCTAGGGCCCGGGTTTTGTGTTCCAGGCCACCGGCGAGGCAGCGGCCCCGGGCGATGGGGGGCCGGGCGGTCAGACACCGGCTGGCGACTCTGCTCAGCCTCCACAGCCCAGCCTGCAGCCCCTTTCCCCCAGCCTCTGGGCCTCGTGGGCTCTCTCCGCTCCGACGCCTGTTCGGGGCTTCCCTGTTGAGAGGGTTTTAGGCCGAAGGGCCAAACGACTCAAGCCAGACTCTACTTTTTCATTTTTCTCCCTTAGGCCTCTCCACTTGCTCGAGCTCTCAGCCACCAGGAGACAGACGGAAGGGGCTTCTGGGCTGTGTTGGGAGCGGGCACTGTCCCCTACCCACTCCTGCACAGTTTCCCAAAGTCCAGCGACCTCCGACCCTCCTTGGGGGAAAAAATACCAGTACCCAGACAACTCTGCATCCTGTTATATGACTGGGCTTGCTTCAGGAATATCTTACAAAGAAGAAGAAGAAGAAGGAAGAGGAGGAACGGCTTGGAGTCATGTTTACATCTAGTTCTACTGATCCGTTCACATCTGGAGAGTTTATTTATAACTCCCTCTATAACTCTCTGTTTGGAGGCACTGGTGGCTCTACTGACAGACTGATGTCTAGGAAATATTGCTCTATGTCTAACCGTACCTAAATGTGCTGTGGTTGTATTTACAGATTTACGTTTGAGGGAAATATAATTATTTCCATTGTATTTGTGCATATACAGTAGTTATAGGAGCAGATTTATATATGGGAAAATATACGACTCTCTTACAGCCATCCGGCTTTATGTACATTTGATATCCTAACAGATTTATATCTCTGAACAGCTATATAGATAAAAACGTATATCGTTAGAATTATGTATCAGGAGATATATACTTATTGATTGTGAAATAGAGTAGTTAGAGCATTCACTTAGAGCCATATATGGCTATGGAGATATTTCTATATTATTATCACTATATATAGGCATATCTATTTATAACTGCATAGTTATAAAAATAGACATAATTATAGTCCTATATGTGCATGCTTCAATCTCTCTCTAGAGTTATAGACACTATCAAATATAACTCTATAGAGAGATCTGTATGTATATAAGGTGTAATTATCTTGTGATGTGTTTACGTTGGGACTTAGGCCCGTCTGTCTAGAACAGACATATTTATATGTAGGTGCTGGGAGAGACTTATTCACAGATATCTGCAGAGGACCAACTGGGAACACTGTATCTGCCCTCTAGGAAACCAGCTAGGAGAGTTGTGTACTTATGGAGGGATGGAGTTACAAAAGGGTAAATAGAGCTCAGGGAGCCTTAAGGAGGGGAGGTGAATGGAGGGTGGGTGGGCTCAGTTTGAACAGATAGTGGGAGGAAAGGGGTAAACACCAGCACCCACCAGAAGGTGAGAACCAGTTTTGTGAGGGGCTGGTGCAGACAACTGTGGACAAGGGGCTTGTAAAATGAGAAGCGGCTAACAGTCCTGCCACATCACCCTGAGACTCTCCACCGAGGAAGCAGCCTTTAGTTTGGCTTTTAGTGCACTGTAGGATACGGACTGTCGTGTCACTCCTGTAGTCCTACAGCGTTTCTCTTGAACCCTAATTTTTAGGTCTCAAACAGCGGGCTTCAGAGATAAAGAGGTTTAGGCAGGGGCAGGGCGAGGAGCATGGGGTGTACTTTCGCTTTCCAATAAGTGAGGTAATCCAGGAAAGTGAGTTAATTTGGCCAAATAAAGCTTGTTTTTATGTGGGCCTCCTGTGCCCTGGTGGGGTTGTAGGATGGGACCAGAATCTGGTGGACTGAGGAGTGAATTTCCAAGTATTGGGCCTGCTCTGATGGGGGCTTGGAGAGGTAGTCCTCCCCACCCGCCCTCCTTCTCTGAGGCCTCAGTGGCTTAATTCCCTCTGGGCACAGAGGGACTCCTTCAGCTCCCTAACAGTGCTGCCCTGGGTCTTTTCAGGGAGAATTTGACTTTAGGAACAGGGAACATGGACTTACTCCACTAGATCTCACTTCTCCCACTCACAGCTACACCACTCTTATGTCAGCCTCCTTCCAGGTGCCACTCGGCCAGGGGTCCACAGTTCTTCCCATGCTACCAACCAGCCCAGTGGGGAAATACCTCCCATGACTGCCAGTTTTTCTGTTTGTGTGTGTGTGTGTGTGTGTGTGTGTTTTAACCAGGGAGTTACAGATAACTTCGTTAACTGCGTGAAGGAATTGTCCTGAACTCAGTCTCTGTGGCCAACCTAGCCTCCAGGATCTCTAGGATGCTAGGACGGGAGTGGAGACCCTTGGACCAGGCTAACCACCATGTGCCATCCTCCACACACCCCTGCCCACAGGACTAGGAATTCCTGCAGTGCAGGGACTCTGTCTGCTGCCTGGCACAGAATGGTTGCCCAAACATACTTGTTGAGGTAAACGGAATGGCAGTCAATACAAAAACTCACCCTCACTCTGCACACCACCATAGCCACTGCTGGCTAGCAGGCACCCTAGCCAGGCTGGGAGATAACATGGCGGCTGGCAGCAGCTTGGGCTTTGACCGGACCAGTGGTTAGTAGGGTGGGAGAGAATCCTGAGCCTAGGATGGGGCGGGGACTGGAGCAAGGCACCTGGAATCCAGAAATCTGGGGGTAAGCCAAGGCAGACCCACCGCCCCAGTGCACTTCTGTTTTCTATCTCCAGTCTCATGGCTCCCTGGACCCCCAAAAGTTATGAAAACTAAACCAGAGCTGAGACCTGGGCTAGGAAGGAATTGCCTGTCAACCCGAGGGGTGCAAAGAGGAACCACCATTGGGTCCATTAAGAAATCCACAAATAAAACAAAAATAAATCAGTGTGACACAGACAACTTGGCTGAAGGAAACGTTTCTCTCTGTGCCTCAGCCCTGCTCCAGGGCTACCAAACAGATCAGGCTTAATATTTAAAATGTTTAATAGTTAAAATTTTTTAACAATTTAACTTTAAAAAGGTCACACATTTTCTGATCCAGCAATGCCCCAATCAGATTGTTTCATTTTATTATTATTATCAACACTGTCCCCTTTTTGGCACCTGTAAAATAGTTCCTTTCGGGAGTTTGGAGCCAGGCCAGGCACCGTCGGTGCATGGGATAAGATGGGCAGGTTTGGAGCTCCTCTGTCTAGTGAGGATCACCGTCTGCAGAGAAGGGTTGGCCTCCCCGTCTCCCATCAAGGCTTAAAGCAAGGAGAACCATCCCGAATTTGGTTCCTTTTCCCCTAAGTATCCTTAGAGGCAATCCACTCTGTGACTAGGTGACTAGGTGAAGGACTGAGGTCCAGAAAGGAGCTATCTTAAAACTGGAATCCCATTTCCTAGTCTGCAGCCTTAAGCAGTTTCCCTCTCAGACAACTAGTCCTCTCCTTTCTCCCCATGAAAACCCATGGCTTAGAGGGATGGTTGTTGCTTTCCCTAAAGAAATTCAGGAAGGGAGATCTGAGGGTCATTTCTCAGCGGTGGCATTCTTTAAAGGGGATGCAGCCTGACTGCCAGGAGGAGAGAACGAGTCGGCCGAGCCAATGCGCATGCGCGAGGCACGAGCAGCTTCTCCCTTCACAGTGGTTTCCACAGTTGTCTTAGAAACCAGTCCCGAGGCTTGGCAAAGGGGGAGACTTCCGTGGCAGTGCTTGGGTGTCAAGGCTCTGAGGATCCGGCCTGACCTCTCCACTGGGGTGAGGGGAAAGTCTCCGGATGCCAAGAGTCACAAAGGGCTGAACAGGGTGAGGAAACCCGACACAGAGTCCGGAAAAGGCAGCATGGAATCCCTCCCTCAGGCCTGCCTGGACGGTGTTGGTTGGGGTGAGTCTCCCCAAAAGTCATGACGTGGTGATCTCGAGGACAGGACGGCCTGCGTGCCGCTGGGGTGCTCTCTCACCGAAGGGTCGTTCTCGTTGAAAGCAGAACCCCACAGCCTCAGGGGTTGCCTGGGTGTGTGTGTTTCAAAGCCTTTGCTGTAAGACTCTGTGTGTGTGTCTGTGTGTGTATGTGTGTGTGTGTGTGTGTGTATCCTATTCTCTCTTCTCTGTCTCTCAGTCTCTGTGTGTTTCTTTCCCTCTCTCTGTCGGTTTGTGTGTGTGTTCCCCTTGTGCGTGTGTGTCCTTGGCTGAATGTGCCCTATGCGCCACAAAGCTGCTTCTCACATGGCGGACTGTCTTTGGTGAGCCTGTTTCTGCCTCTCTGCCAGGGTCATGAGGCCGGTTGTCAATCCTTTTTGCCAACGCGGTTCCGCTTTGGGTGTTTGAAGGCCTGGCCCACGTGAGGAGATGCTTCGGTCCCAGAGCAATTGAAATATCATCCCCATCCTGAGCGGCCTCTTTTCTAAGATCAAGATGAACACACTGCAGATGAGGACACGAGCCCCACAGGAGCTCTTTCTCCCGCAGGAGACCAGCAGACCCACGTCAGAGAGGATGCTTGTATCTTTTCATGGCTCTTCTCTGAGAAATGAAGCCACACCACAATACGGTCTGGAAGAGGAAGCTGGGAATGGGAGATGGAAACAATCCCTGTCAATGGAACGCTGGCCTCTCTGGACAAGCCACCGTTTTGGAACCCCACCCCTTATGACCCTGGCAGTGGAACGATGATATATCCTGCCTGGCCGCCGGCGTCTGCCCTGTCCTCCCTCCTGCTGTGCCTCACCTGTTTCTCAAGTGCCTCGATGCCTCTCGCTGACGCCCAATGTCTTCAACAAAGATGACTTACCAGTCCATCAGGGAGACATTTCTTCGAGATCCGTGTCGTGATTGTTTCTCTATCCAAACGTGTTTCTGCTTGAATGGGCAGGTCTCATGACCTGGGAGCTCCTGGCTTCCATTCGTGTCTCAGGCAGGGAAGCTTCCTTCTTCTCCACGTTTCCCCTCATGGGTGGGTGGATTGCCTAGAATGAGCGCTAGGCGACCGTGACAGGCCCTGTCTTCCAGGAAAGGTAGTGTCGCATTTCCTCTGCACTTCCTGTCTCATTCATGAGGGACATCCTCTCCTCTGCTCCTGGGTGGACTGACTCCCTTGATCTTCTGGCCGAAACGAATGCCAGGGAACCAAAGGGACTGGGCTGGGGCTGGGGCTGGGGCTGTGGCTGGGCGCAGCCGAAGTTGCGTCAGGGCTACCAGGGCGGTGGAGGATTGGGGGTGGGGCGAATTTTGCAGAAACCTCTTTGCTCCTCTGGTAGGCATTCGAAAACGTGGCTTGGCTCCGGCACAGGCCCCTCACCCCCCGGGTCCTAGGTGTTCTTCGATTTTCCTTGGCATTGATGGAAAGTTCACCCGTTTCCCCATTCAACCGGCACATGCCTGGACACCACCCTCTGTTTCGCCGTCGCCCCGTATGCCTCCGGTGACACACATTAACACCAACTGCTGTGGGATAGGCCAGTGCCACACGTGGTCACATGGTCTCCACCTCGGATTCGCCCCTGTTCCTCTATGCAGGTGTGCTGTAAAGCGCGGTCAGCTTTCCGGAACCCCAGGGCTTTTAGAAGCGGGGCTGGCCACTGCTCTTTCAAAGGAGGAGGGAGGCAGAGGGCTGATGGATGAGTGAATTTGCAGCTGACACTAGGCCTTGAGACCTATGGGATCATTCTGTGCTGCAGCGAGGCCCTGCCGGCCTGAACAGATGTGGTGAGCCCATCCTATCTCACACGAAGGGGGCCAAAATGGGATCTGAATGGGAGTCCGGAAAACACAGCAGGCATCCTGAAGCTCCCTCTCCCTCGGTGGAAGTCGGCTCAAGCAGGACCTGAGGTGAGGACTCCTCGGGGTTTGGCCCTGGGACAGGAGAAGACACCCGCGACGCCCTCTCCCACGCCGCCCCAAACTGGACCCCGGGTCTAGCCGCCACCGCGGGGGTAGCAGGAGCCTCGCTGCTGCCGCGCTCAGAGGTGGCAGTATTTAAAGGGGACCCAGCCTGACTGCCAGGAGCGGAGCGCGAGTTGGCTCACCCAACGCGCATGCGCAAGGCGCGAGTGGCTTCTCCAGTCACAGTAGTTCCCACGGTTGTCTTAGAAACCAGTCCCGGAGGCTGGGTGAAGAAGGAGCCCTCCGTGGCTGTGCTTGGGTTTCCGGGCTCTGAGGCTCCGGCCTAACCTCTTCACCGGGTCGATGGGAACGTCCCCAGATTCCAGGAGTCCCAAAGGGCCAAGTACCATGAGGAAAGCCCAGCGGAGATGGGGGAAGCAGCACGGGATCCCAGCCTCAGGCCTGCCCGGACGGTGTTGGTTGGGGTGAGTCTCCCCAAAAGTCGTGCCTCCGTCTGTGATCTCTAGGACAGGTCGGCCTGCGTGCCCCTGGGCTGCTCTCTCACCCGAGGGTCGTTCTCGTAGAGAGCAGAACATCACAGCTTCAGGGATTGCCTGGGGGTGTGTTTTTCAATGCCCTCCTCCTTTGAAAGAGCAGTGGCCTGCCCCGCTTCTAAAAGCCCTGGGGTTCCGAAAAGCGGACCGCGCTTTACAGGACACCTGCAAAGAGGAACAGAGGCGAATCCGAGGGGGAGACCATGTGACCACGCGTGGCACTGGCCAATCCCACAGCAGTTGGTGTTAATGTGTGTCACCGGAGGCATACGAGGCGACGGTGAAACAAAGGGTGGTGTCCAGGCATGTGCCGGTGGAAGGGGGAAACGGGTGACCTTTCCATCAATGCCAAGGAAAATCAAAGAACACCTGGGACCCGGGGGTTGGGGGGGGCCGCCTGTGCCTGACCCAAGCCACGTTTTCAAATGCCTACCAGAGGAGCAAAGGGGTTTCTGCAAAACTCGCAACACCCCCAAACCTCCACCAACCTGGTAGCCCTGAGGCAACTTCGGCTGCACCCAGCCCCAGCCCCAGCCCCAGCCCCCAGCCCTAGCCCAGTCCCTTTGGTTCCCTGTCATTCATTTCGGCCATAAGTTCAAGGGAGTCAGTCCACCCAGGAGCACAGGAGAGGATGTCCCTCAAAAATGAGACAGGAAGTGCAGAGGAAATGCGACACCACCTGTCTTGGAAGACAAGGCCAGTCACGGTCGCCTAGCGCTCATTCTAGGCAATCCACCCACCCATGAGGAGAAACGTGGAGAAGGAAGCTTCTCTGTCTGAGACAACTAAGGAAGCCAAGAGCTCCCGGGTCATGAGACCTGCCCAATCAACCAGAAAGACGTTTGGACAGAGAAACAATCTCGACACGAGTCTCCAGGACGTGTCTCCCTGACGGAGTGGGAAGTCATCTTTGTTGAAGGCATTTGGCCAGAGCCAGAGGCATCCAGGCCCCTGAGAAACAGGGGAGGCAGAGCAAGAGTGAGGACAGATCAGAGGCCGGAGCTCAGGCAGGATACAGAACCGTGCCACGGCCACGGGCATAAGGGGTGGTGTTCCAAAAGGGTGGCTTGTGCAGGGATGCCAGCATTCCAGGGACAGGGAGTTTTGCCATCTCTCATTCCCGGGTTCCTCTTGCAGACTGTATCGTGGTGTGGCTTCATTTCTCAGAGAAGAGCCGTGAAAAGACTCAAGCATCTTCTCTGACGTGGGTCCGCTGCTCTCCTGTGGGACAAAGAGCTCCTGTGGGACTCTTGTCCTCGTCTGAAGTGTGTTCATCTTGATCCTAGAAAAGAGGCCGCTCAGGATGGGGATGAGACTTCAATTGCTCTGGGACCGAAGCATCTCCTCACGTGGGCCAGGCTTTCACACACCCAAAGCGGATTGGAGGCGGCGAAAAGCATTGACAACCAGCCTCATGAAACAGGCAGAGACGCAGAAAGAGGCTGAGCAAAGACAGACCGTCATGTGAGAAACCGCTCTGTGGCGCACAGGGCACATTCAGCCAAAGACAAACACGCACACGAGCACACACACACAAACCCACAGAGGGTGGGAAAGAAACACGCAGAGACTGAGAGACAGGGAGAGAAAAGAGAATGGGAGACACACACACCGACACACACACACACAAACACACACCCACGGAGTCATACAGCAGAGTCATTGAAACACACACCTCCAGGCAACCCCTCAGGCTGCGGGGTTCTGCTCTGGAGGAGAAAGACCCTCAGGTGAGAGAGCAGCCCAGGGGCACGCAGGCCGAACCGTCCTCGAGATCACAGACGGCGGCACGACTTTGGGGAGACTCACCCCAACCAACACCGTCCGTGCAGGCCTGAGGCTGGGATCCCGTGCTGCTTTCCCCGTTTCCGCCTGGGGTTTCATCATAATGGTCCGCCCTTTGCGACTCCTGGCATCCGGAGACTTTCCCTTCGACTCATGGAGAGGTGAGGCCTTAGCCTCAGAGCTTCGACACCCAAGCACTGCCACGGAGGGCTCCTGCTCTGCCAAGCCTCGGGGACTGGTTTCTAAGACAACCGTGGGAACCACTGTGATGGGAGAAACCGCTCCCGCCTCGCGCATGCGCATTGGCTGAGACGACTCCCGCTCCACTTCTGAGAGATTGGCTGCGTCCCCTTTAAATATCGCCACCGCCACGCGGCGGCCGGGATGCTCCTGCTGCAGCCACGGTGGCAGCTGGATCCTGGGTCCTGTTTGGGGCGGCGTGGGAGAGGGGGCCGCGGGTGTCTCGTCCTGTCCCAGGCCCAAACCCCCAGGGGTCCTGTCCTCAGGAGCTGCTTCAGCCGACTTCCACCGAGGGAGGGGGAGCTTCAGGACGCCTGCTGTGTTCTCCGGACTCCCGCTGAGATCCGATTTTGGCCCCCTCCGAGTGAGATAGGATGGGCTCACCACATCTGGAGAGGCTGGCAGGGCCTCGCTGCAGCACAGAATGATCCCATAGGTCTCAAGGCCTAGTGTCAGCTGCAAGTTCACTCATCCATCAGCCCTGTCTCCCTCCTCCTTTGAAAGAGCAGTGGCCAGCGCCACTTGTAAAAGCCCTGGGGTTCCGGAAAGCCGACCGCGCATTACAGGACACCTGCAATGAGGAACAGAGGCGAATCCGAGGGGGAGACCATGTGACCACGCGTGGCACTGGCCAATCCCACAGCAGTTGGTGTTAATATGTGTCACCGGAGACATACTGCGCGACGGCAAAACAAAGAGTGGGGTCCAGGCTTGTGCCGGTGGAAGGGGGAAACGGGTGACATTTCCATCAATGTCAAGGAAAATCTAAGAACGCCTGGGACCCGGGGGGTGGGGGGGCCGCCTGTGCCTGACCCAAGCCACGTTTTCGAATGCCTACTAGAGGAGCAAAGAGGTTTCTGCAAAATTGGCAACACCCCCAATCCTCCACTGACCTGGTTGCCCTGACGCAATTTCGGCTGGCACAAACCCACAGATAGTGGGAAAGAAACACACAGAGACTGAGAGACAGAGAGAGAAGAGAGAATGGGAGACACACACACAGACACACACACACGCACACACACACACGCAGAGTCATACAGCAGAGGCATTGAAACACACACCCCCAGGCAACCCCTGAGGCTGCGGGTTTCTGCTCTGGAGGAGAAAGACCCTCGGGTGAGAGAGTAGCCCAGGGGCACGCAGGCCGACCCGTCCTCGAGATCACGGATGGCGGCACGACTTTTGGGGAGACTCACCCGAACCAACGCCGACCGTGCAGGCCTGAGGCTGGGATCCCATGCTGCTTCCTCCGTCTCCGCCTGGGGTTTCATCATCATGGTCCACCCTTTGCGACTCCTGGCATCCGGGGACGTTCCTTTCGACCCCGTGGCAGGTGAGGCCAGAGCCTCAGAGCCTCGACACCCAAGCACTGCCATGGAGGGCTCCTGGACTGCCAAGCCTCGGGGCCTGGTTTCTAAGACAACCCTGGGAACCACTGTGATGGGAGAAACCGCTCCCGCCTCGCGCATGCGCATTGGCTGAGCCGACTGGCGCTCCACTCCTGACAGATAGGCTGCGTCCCCTTTAAATATAGCCACCGCCGCGCCGCGATGCTCCTGCTGCCGCCACGGCGGTGGCTGGATCCTGGGTCCTGTGTGGGGCGGCGTGGGAGAGGGGGCCGCGGGTGTCTCCTCCTGTCCCAGGCCCAAACCCCCAGGGGTCCTGTCCTCAGGACCTGCTTGAGCCGACTTCCACCAAGGGAGGGGGAGCCTCAGGAGGCCTGCTGTGTTCTCCCGACTCCCGTTGAGATCCGATTTTGGCCCCCTCCGAGTGAGATAGGATGGGCTCACCACAATTGGAGGGGCTGGCAGGGCCTCGCTGCAGCACAGAATGATCCCATAGGTCTCAAGGCCTAGTGTCAGCTGCAAATTCACTCATCCATCAGCCCTCTGCCTCCCTCCTCCTTTGAAAGAGCAGTGGCCAGCCCCGCTTGTAAAAGTCCTGAGGTTCCGGAAAGCGGACCGCGGTTTACAGGACACCTGTAAAGAGGAACAGAGGTGAATCCGAGGGGGAGACCATGTGACCACGCGTGGCACTGGCCAATCCCACAGCAGTTGGTGTTAATGTGTGTCACCGGAGGCATACGGCGCGACGGCGAAACAAAGGGTGGGGTCCGGGCATGTGCTGGTGGAAGGGGGAAACAGGTGACCTTTCCGTCAATACCAAGGAAAATCAAAGAACACCTGGGACCCTGGGGGGTGGGGGGCCGCCTGTGCCTGACCCAAGCCACGTTTTCGAATGCCTACCAGAGGAGCAAAGAGGTTTCTGCAAAATTCGCAACACCCCCAATCCTCCACCGACCTGGTAGCCCTGACGCAGCTTCGGCTGCACCCAGCCCCAGCCCCAGCCCCCAGCCCTAGCCCAGTCCCTTTGGTTCCCTGACATTCGTTTCGCCCAGAAGATCAAGGCAGTCAGTCCACCCAGGAGCAGAGGAGAGGATGTCCCTCAAGAATGAGACAGGTATTGTAGAGGAAATGCGACACCACCTGTCCTGGAAGACAAGGCCAGTCACGGTCGCCTAGCACTGATTCTAGGCAATCCACCCACCCATGAGGGGAAACGTGGAGAAGAAGGAAGCTTCTCTGTCTGAGACACCTATGGAAGCCAAGAGCTCCCGGGTCATGAGACCTGCCCAATCAAGCAGAAAGACGTTTGGACAGAGAAACAATCACGACACGGGTCTCCAGGACGTGTCTCCCTGACGGAGTGGGAAGTCATCTTTGTTGAAGGCATTTGGCCAGAACGAGAGGCATCCAGGCCCCTGAGAAACAGGGTAGGCAGAGCCAGAGGGAGGACAGAGCAGAGGCTGGAGCCCAGGCAGGATACAGCACCTTGCCACCGCCACGGGCATAAGGGGTGGGGTTCCAAAAGGGTGGTTTGTCCAGGGAGGCCAGTGTTCCAGGGACAGGGAGTTTTGCCATCTCTCATTCCCGGGTTCCTCTTGCAGACTGTATCGTGGTGTGGCTTCATTTCTCAGAGAAGAGCCGTGAAAAGACTCAAGCATCTTCTCTGACGTGGGTCCGCTGCTCTCCTGTGGGACAAAGAGCTCCTGTGGGGCTCTTGTCCTCGTCTGCATTGTGTTCATCTTGATCCTAGAAAAGAGGCCGCTCAGGATGGGGATGAGACTTCAATTGCTCCAGGACCGAAGCATCTCCTCACGTGGGTCAGGCTTTCACACACCCCAAGCGGATCCGCGGTGGCAAAAACGATTGTCAACAGGCCTCATGACCCAGGCAGCAAGGCAGAAAGACTCTCAACAAAGACACGCCGCCATGCGAGAAACCGCTTTGTGGCGCACAGGGCACATTCAGCCAAACACACCCACCCACAGCGGCACACACACACAAACCCACAGAGTGTGGGATAGAAACCCACAGAGACTGAGATACAGAGTGAGAAGAGAGAATGGGAAACACATACACAGACACACACAGACACACACATGCTCACTCACACACATACACACACAGACTCACACACAGAGTCATCCAGCAGAGGTATTGAAATACTCACCCCCAGGACACCCCTGAGACTGCGGGGTTCTACTCTCGACAAGAACGACCCCCGGATGAGAGAGCAGCCCAGGGGCACGCAGGCCGACCTGTCTTAGAGATCACAGACGGTGGCACGACTTTTGGGGAGAGTCACCCCAACCAACACCGTCCAGGCAGGCCTGAGGCTGGGATGCTGTGCTGCTTTTCCCAGACTCCGCCTGGGGTTTCCTCTTTCTGTTCGGCGCTTTGCGACTCCTGGCATCTGGAGACTTTCCCGTAGACCCCGTGGAGAGGTCAGGACCAGAGCCTCAGAGCCCTGATACCCAAAGACTGCCAGGGAGGGCTCCTGCTTTTCTAAGCCTCGGAGACTGGTTTCTAAGACAACCGTGGAACCACTGTGATGGGAAAAGCCACTCGCGCCTCGCGCAGGCGCATTGGCTAGGCCGACTCGCGCTTCGCTCCTGGCAGTCAGGCTGAGTCCCCTTTAAATAATGGCAGCGCTTCGGGGCGGCGGCGAGGCTCCTGCTGCAGCCGCGGTGGCGGGTGGATCCGGGGTCCAGTTTGGGGCAGTGTGGGAGAGGGGTCCCGTGTGTCTTGTCCCAGGGCCAAAGCCCCAGGAGTCCTGTCCTCAGGACCTCCTTGAGCCGACTTCCACCGAGGGAGCGGGAGCTTCAGGATGCTTGCTGTGTTCTCAGGACTCCCCTTCAGATTCATTTTGGCCCGCTGAATCAGATAGGATGGGCTCACTACATCTGGTGAGGCCATAGGGCCTCGCTGCAGCACAGAATAATCCCATAAGTCTCAAGGCCTAGTGTCAGCTGCATATTTACTGATCCATCAGCCCTCTGCTTCCTTCCTCCTTTGAAAGAGCAGTGGCCTGCTCCGCTTCTAAAAGCCCTCGGGCTCCGGAAAGCCAACCGCGCTTTACAGGACTCGTGGAAAGAGGAACAGGGGTGAATCCGAGATGGAGACCATGTGACCACGCGTGGCACTGGCGTATCCCACAGCAGATGGTGTGAATGTGTCACCGGAGGCATACATTGTGACGGCAAAACCAACAATGGTGTCCAGGAATGTGCCCGGTCGAAGCGGGGAACGAGTGACCTTTCCATCAATGCCAAGGAAAATCGAAGAACACCTGGGAACGAGGAGGGTGCCTGAGCCTTAGTCCAAGCCACATTTTGAAATGCCTGCCAGAGGATTAAAGAGGTTTTGGCAAAATTCACCCCACCCCCAACCCTCCAATGCCCAGGTAGCCCTGACCCAACCTCCCCTGCAACCAGCCCCAGCCCCAGCCCCAGCCCCAGCCCCAACCCTGTCCCTTTGGTTCCTTTCCCCGACATTCGTTATGGTCAAAAGATCCAGGGAGTCAGTCCACCCAGGAGCAGAGGAGAGGACGTGTTTCACGAATGAGACATGAAGTGCAGAGGAAATGCGACAGCACCTGTCCTAGAAGACAAGGCCTGTCACTGTCGACTAGCGCTCATTCCAGGCAATCCACCCACCCATGAGGTGAAAGATGGAGAGGAAGGAAGCTTCCCTGTCTGAGACAAGTATGGAAGCCAAGAGCTCCAGGGTGGTCAATCCTGCCCTATCAAGCAGAAACAGGTTGGAAAGAGAGAAACCATCACGACAGGGATCTCCAGGAAGTGTCTCCCTGATGGACTGGGTTGTGATCATTGTTGAAGACATTCAGCGAGAGCGAGAGGCATCTAGGCCCTTCAGAAACAGGGGAGACAGAGCAAGAGGAAGGACAAAGCAGAGGCCAAAGCCCAGGCAGGATACAGCACTGTGCCACTGCCACGGCCATGAGGGGAGGGGTACCAAAAAGGTGGCTTTTCCAGAAAGGCCAGCGTTCCAGTGACTATCTGTGAAAATGCTTTGTGATGCATGGGTTATCCCTCAGAGTTAAACATTTGTTTTGACTTAGCAGTTTGGAAACACTCTTTTTAAAGAATCAATGAAGGGATATTTTGAAGCCCATGGATGAGTATATTGAGAAACTAAATATCCCACCTTAGAAACTAGCAAGAAATTATTAGTGAAAATGTTCTGTGGTGTGTGGATTCATCTCACAGAGTTAGACTTTTGTTTTTATTCTGCAGGTTTCAAACACTCTTTTGTGGAATCTACAAAGGAACATTTTAGAGCCCACTGAGGCCTATAGTGAAAACTGAATATCTTGTGATAAAAGCTAGAAACGAGCTATCTGTGAAAATGTTTGTGATGTGTGGATTTATCTCATAGAGTTATACTTATGTTTATATACAGCAGGTTGGAAACACTCTTTTAGTAGAATCTAAAATAAAAAATTTCTGAGTCCTTGAGGCCTATTATAAAAAAAGAATATCCCTGATAAAAACTGGCAACACATTATCTGTGAAAATGCTTTGAGATATGTGGATTCATCTCGCAAAGTTAAACCCTTGTTTTGGTTCAGAAGGTTGAAAACACTCTTTTTGTAATATCTATGAAGGGATATTTTGGAGCCCATAGAGGCCTATACTAAAAACCAAATATCCCAGGATAAAAACTAGAAACAAGCTATGTGTGAAAATGTTTTGCAATGTGTAGAATCATCTCACAGAGTTAAACCTTGTTTTGATTGGGCAGGTTGGAAACATTCTTTTTGTAGAACAAAGGAAGGGACATTTTGGAGCTCATTGAGGCCTATAGTGAAAAACCACATATGCCATGATAAAAACTAGAACAAGCTATCTGTAAAAATCTTTTGCAATGTGTGGTTTCATCTCACAGAGTTTAATCTTTATTTTGACTTAGCAGTTTGGAAACACTATTTTTCTAGAATCTGCAAGGGGACATTTCAAACCCAATGAGGCCTGTAGTAAAAAACTGAATATCCCACGATGAAAACTAGAAACTAGCTATCTGTGAAAATGCTTTGAGATGTGTGGCTTCATCTAATGGAGTTGAATGTTAGTTTTGATTCAGCAGGTTGGAAACTTAGCAGTTTGGAAACACTCATTTTGTAGAATCAAAGAGGGGACTTTTCTTAGCCCCCTGAGGCCTTTAGTGAAAAATCAAATATCCCGTGATAAAAACTAGAAACAAGTTATCTGTAAAAATGCTTTGCAATTTGTGGATTTGTCTCACAATGTTAAACCTTTGTTTTGATTCAGCAGGTTGGAAACTGTCTTTTTGTACAATTGATGAGGAGATATTTCAAAGCCCATTGATTGAGGCTTATAGTGAAAAACCTAAAATCCTAATAAACACTATAAATAAGCTATCTCTGAAAATGCTTTGAGATGTGTAATTTCATCTTATAGAGTTAAATCTTTCTTTTTATTCAACAGGATGGAAACATTCTTATTGTAGAATATACGAAAGGATATTTCAGAGCAAATTGAGGCCTGTAGTGAAAAACAGAATATACTGTGATAAAAGCTAGAAACAAGGTATCTCTAAAAATGCTTTGTGATGTGTAGTTTTATCATACAAAGTTAAACCTTTGTATTGCATCAGCAGGTTGGAAACTCTCTGCTTGTAGAATATATGAGAGGTCAATTTGGAGCCCATTTTGGCAGGTAGTGAAAAACCAATATTCTGTGATAGAAACTAGAAAAGGCTGTCTGTGAAAAAGCTTTCTGATGTCTGGATTCATCACACAGAGTTAAATCTTTGTTTTAATTCAGGAGGTTGAAAACACTGTTTCTGGAAAATCTACGGAAGGCGGGTTGGAAACACTTTTTTTTAGTAGAACCTACAAAGAGACACTTTGGAGCCCATTGAGGCCTGTAGTAAAAATACAAATGTCCCATGATGAAAACTAGAAAAAGTTTTATGTGAAAATGCTTTGCAATGAGTGGATTTATATCACCAGGTTAAAGCTTTGTTTTGACTTAGCAGATTGGAAGCACTATTTATGAAGAATCTACGAAGGGACATTTTAGAGCCCATTGAGGGCTCTTTTAAAAAATCGAATGTCCCACAATGAAAACTAGATATAAGCTATCTGTGAAAATGCTTTGTGATGTACGGATGCATCTCCCAGAGTTAAACCTTTGTTTTTATTCTGCAGGTTGCAGACAGTCTAATTCTGGAACGTGTTAAAAGACATTTCAAGGCCCATTGAGAACTATAATAAAAAACAAATATTCCTTGATAAAAACTAGAAAAATCTATCAGTGAAAATCCTTTGTGTTGTGTGGATTCAACTGAGACTTAAAATTGTTTTGATTCAGCACGTTGGAAAAACTCTTTTTTAGAATCTATGAAGCAACATTTCACAGCCCATAGAGGCCTATAGTTGTAAAACCGAATATTCTGCTATAAAAACAGGAAACAAGCTATCTGTGAAAATACTTTCCAATGTGTGGATTTATCTCACAAAGTTAAACTTTTGTTTTGTTACAGCAAGTCGAAAACAATCTTTTTGAAGAACATTCAAAGGAATATTTTGAAGCCAATTGAGGCCTGCAGTGGAAAACCAAATATCTTATCATAAAAACTTGAAAGAAGTTATCTGTGAAAATGCTTTGTGATGTGTTCCTTCATCTGACAGAGATAAATCTTTATTTTGATTCAGCAGGTTGGAAACACTATTTTTATAGAATCTAGGAAGGAACATTTCTGAGCCCATTGAGGCCTATAGAGAAAAACCTAATATCCTGTGATAAAATCTAGAAACAAAATATCTGTGAAAATTTTTTATGATGTGTGAATTCATCTATCAGAGATAAAACATTTTTTGATTCAGCAGGTTGGAAAAACTCTTTGTAGAATCTATAAAGGGATATTTCAGAGCCCATTGAGGCCTACTGTGGAAAATTGAATATTCTGCAATAAAAACTAGAAACAAGCTATCTGTGTAAATGCTTTGCCATGTGTGGGTTCATCTTACAGAGTTAAACCTTTGTTTTGATTCAGCAGGTTGAAAACATTCTTTTAATAGAATCTACAAAGGGACACTTCAAAGTACATTGAAGGCTATACTGAAAAACCTAATACCAGTGATTAAAACTAGCAGCAAGCTATCTGTGAAAATGCTTTCTGATATGTGGATTTGTCTCACAAACTTAAACCTTTGTTTTGATTCAGCAGGTTGGCAACACTCTTTTTGTACAACCTATGAAGGGACATTTTGGAGCTCACTGAGGCCTATAGTGAAAAAATGAATATTTCAAGATAGAAACTAGAAACAAGCAATATTTGAAAATGCTTGGTGGTGTGTGGATTCATCTCACAGAGGTAAACCTTTATATTGATTCAGCACATTGGAAACACTCTTTTTAAAGAATCTACAAAAGGACATTTTGGAACCCATTGACAAGTATATTGAAAAACTGAATATGCCACGATACATACTAGCAACAATCTATTAGTGAAAATGCTTTGTGATGTGTGGATTCATCTCACAAAGTTTAACCTTTATTATCATTCGGTAGGTTGAGAACACTCTTTATGTAGCATATACAAAAAAAAAGATATTTTTGTGAACATTGAGGACTAAAGTAAAACACCAAATATTTCACAGTAAAAACTAAAAACTGTCTATCTGTGAAAATGCTTTGTGAAGTGTGGATTTATCTCACAGAGTTAAACCTTTGTTTTGATTCAACAGGATGAAAACACCTTTTTTTGTAGAATCTATGAAGGGACATTTCAGAGCCTATTGTGGAGTATACTGAAAAACCTAATATCCCAGCATAAAAACTAGAAAGAAGCTATCTTTGCAAATGATTTGTGATGTGTGGATTCATCTTACAGAGATAAACCTTTTTGTATCAGTTAAACCCTTTTTTTATTCCTCGCAAGTTGGAGGCCTCCCACCTGACCACGGGGCCATGTTGTGGACAGCTTGTGCAATGAAGGGAATGCAAGGATGGAGTTGGAAACACTTCCTGTGTCATCTGTCTTCACCTTTTTTTGCAGATGGAGGTGCAGGACCCCATCCACACCTCAGCAGACTGTATGCTCACCCGTATCTGACCTTATTGCTGCTCACACTCCTAGTTCTGGAATGAAATCCCAAGATGTTGGAGGAGTGTTCCTTTCATGACGTGAAGCACCTGCTCGGCTGCAAACCGAATTCGAATTGGATTCAAGCGGCCTGTGGACAGGACTGCTAGGGTCCCGCCCTGGGTTGGCCACAGGACAATGAGGCCCTGACAGGTGTCTTCTCCTGAGAGTGGTGTGCTCCTCTTCTTTCTAGAAGAGTGGCTCCTTTGTATGGGGAGGTGATTTGTACACCTGTGAGTCTCAACCATCCCCCCAACTCACCATGGACTCAGGAAGCACGGAAAAACAAAGAACATGCAGCCCCATAGGCCAAGCAGAGCCACACAGACAGGTGCACCAGAAGGTGAAGGGACTCAAAAAAAAAAGCACTGCAGTGCATTAAACACATTCCTTTTAACAGATGCCCCTCACACACACACACACAGACACACACAAACACACATACAGCCACACACACACACACAGACATTCAAACAGTCACAACACTGCCACAGAAACACACAGACTGGCAGCTCCTGAGGCTGCACGGTTCTGCAGGAAGCCCCTTCTGAGAGAGAGCAGCCCTGGAAAACAGAGGCGGGCTGTACCTAGAAATCACAGGGAGGGAATTTCAAAAAGATTCACTCCCACATCGTCTAGGCAGGCCTGACTCATCGTGGGTATCCTTTTGGATCCTTAGGGATTTTGTGGTTTATTCCTGGGACTCCACTTGATGTGTCTTCAGGCTGGCTCACCACTGCCCACTCCTAGGATTGTGGGAATATCCCATAGAGCCCTCAGAGTAGACAGGTGATAGTTCAATGCCAACACACAGCCACAGAGGACTCCTTCTCCACCAAGATGAAGGGACTTGTCACCAGCCAATGGTGGCATTCACTGTGATGTGAGCCGCTGCTCACCACTGGTGCCTGGTGGCCTGACTGTCACATGCGCATCCACAAAGCAGGCTCTGGCACCTGGCTGTCAGGGCTGTAAGCCTGGCAAAGCTCAGGAAAATGGTACAGCCAGAGCTGGCCTAGTCTCCAGAAAAAGGCTGCCTGCAGCAACCGACTGCAGCATGCTAATAGTCTCAAACATAGGGCCTTCATGAGCCATCTCCGTGGTAGGGTCCCACAGGAGAAGGAGGAGTTTGAAGACTGTGAGGTGGGATCTGGAGACTGCTCTTCTGAGTCCATTCCCAAAAGAGGCTGTGTGCATGAATTCGGTCTCCTGGGGATGGGAATAAAGTCTGGTGAGTTGTTAAGAGGTCTCTGGGTGATGGAATAATATCTGAGATCCAAGAGGCAGGTGTCAGTGGAAGATGGCCAGGCCCTTGAACCCCCTGCCTTTCTTCATCCTGGGCCTCACAGGGGCTCCTGCTTCTCAGCATGGCTCTCTGGTAAAGGCAGGAACCATGACAAAGGCAAGTCCAAGGTGGAGCACTGTTCTCACACCTAAAACAGGCCTCTCGCAGGTGCACATGAGGTTAAGAGAGTGTCTCAGAGGATGTCTGGGGCAATTTGAAACCTGAAAATAACATCCAGGTGTGCTGTTGATGGGCACTGTGGACCCCCCATGAAAGCAAAGAAAAGTCAAGGTTCTCCTGGGAGAATGAGCAAACTTGTGCAGGAGTCCAAGCCATGTTGAAGGATTCCTGCCAGAGAATTTAAAAGCCTCCTGCAAAGTGTAAACAATGCCAGCCACCATTATGAGACCACTACCCACAACCTGGTGTGCGGCCAGCCTACCCAAAATACCTTTTGCTTTCTGATATACCTGGCAACCAAAATATGCACAATGAAAGTCAGTCCCACCCACCAACAGCCCAATGAAATACCCCATCCACAATGAGAAAGGAAGTGCAGATGACATGAAACAGAGCCTAGATTTCCAAGTAAAAGCCAGACACAGCTGCCTGTTTCTCATCCTACAGGAGTCATGCAGCTGTCTTTTAGAAGTGGGAGAACAAGTTATCTTGATGGTGTATATAATCGAAATTTATGATTCCGAAAGTATCACAACTGCCCAGTAATTAAAATGTGACAGTGTTTATAAGAAAACACTCATGCAATGGATTCCCATGAGAATCGTCCTCCATGAACTGGGAAACTTTTAGTGTGGAAGACTTTGAGCCAGACCCAGAAAAACCCCAGGTTCACAAGGAACATGGAAGTCAGACTGAGCCAGACCTAGGAAACTCTAGGCCCACAAGGAACATGGAAGTCAGGAAAAGAGGAGGACAGTGTGGAGGCCACATCCAAGCCAGCATCAGTCCATCTCACTCCAATGTGGCTCTGGGAATGGAAGCTGAATTCTGGAGCTGGCCAGAAGGGTCCCAGTTTGCAATCCAACTTTTCCTTGCACGATTGAGTCATCCCACCCGGGCACCAGGCCATGCTGTTTACTGTGCAATGAAGGGAATGAGGGGATGCAGTTGGAAGCAACTTCTGTGTCATCTGTCTGCACCTTTTTTGCAGGTGAAGGTGTGAGATCCCATCCACACCTCAACAGACTGTATCCTCACCCCTATCTGACCTTATTGTTGCTCACACTCTGTGTCCCAGAATAAAATTCTGAGACAATGGAGGAGTGCCTCCCTGATGACCTGAAGCACCTGCTCAGCTACAAACCAAAATCGAGGTAAATTCAAGAAGCCCTGCGACTGGACTGCTGGGGTCTGGCCCTGGGTTGGCCACAGAACAATAAAGCACGGGGAGTTGTCTGTTTTGGGGTGTGGTGTGCTTCTCTTCTTTGTAGAAATGTGGCTTTTTGGCAAGGGGAGGTGATTTTGAACCTGGCAGTTGTCAGCCATTCTTCCAATTCACTGTGGATTCAGGAGCCATGGAAAAATGAAGAACATGGAGACCTTCAGCCCAAGCAGAGCCACAGAGACAGGCCACCGGAAGATGGGGTGACAAAAACAGTGCTGCAGTGTGTTAGCCACATTTCTTTCAGCAGACTCCACTTACCTCCACACACAGACACACACACACACACACACACTCACATGACCGCAGCCACACACAGATATCCACGACTTGAAACACTCCCACAGGAACACACATCCCAGCAGCTTCAGAGGCTGTGTGTTTCTGCAGGAAGCTCCTCTGGAGAGAGCAGCCTGGGGAACACAGGTGGGCTGTACCTAGACATCACGGAGGGGAGCACATTTCAAAAAGACTCACCCCCACACCCTCTAGGCAGGCCCGTTCAGGCCATCTTCATGGTCAGGTCCCGCTGGAGGAGGAGGCACTTGGAGACTGTGATGTGGGGCGCTGGAAACTGTTCCTCTGATTCCATTCCCCAAAGAGGCTGTGTGCAAGAATTGGGTCCCATGGGGGAAGAGAATACAGTCTGCTGAGATGTTAAGGGGTGTCCAGGTGATGAAATCATACCGAAGACCCCAGAGGCAGATGTCAGCAGAAAATGGCAGGGCCCTTGAGCTCACTGCCTCCCTTCATCCTGGGCCTCACAGGGGCTCCTGCTACTCAACATGGCTCTCTGGGAAAGGCAGGAACTATGACAAAGGCAAGTTGAAGGTGAAGCAGAAGTCTTACACTTTGAACAGACCTCACGAGTGCAGATGCAGTTCAGAGAGTGTCTCAGTCACCGTCTGAGGCAATTGCAAACCAAAAAAAGTGTGTTTAGGAGCGCTGATGAAGAGTAGTATGGACTCCTCATGAAAGCAATGGAAAATCAATTCTTGCCTTGGAGAATGAGAGGGCCTGTGCTAGCGTCCAAGCCATGTTCAAGGATTCCTGCCAGAGGACCCAAAAGCCTCCTGCAAACACCCCAATCCCCCACAGTGAGACCACTACTCACAACCTGGAGTGCAGCCAGCCTACCCGAAGTACTTTTTGCTCCCTGAAATCCCTGGCAGCCAAAAGATCTGTAGAGAGAGGCAGTCCCCCATAGCAACAGATCAATAAAAGATCCCCTCCACAGTGAAAAAGAATATGCAGATGACTGTAACAGAGCCTAGATGACCAGGCAAATCCTGACACCGCTGCCTGCTTCTCATCCTATAGGAATCATGCAGCCCTCTGATAAGAGTGGGAGAACAAGAGTTTCCTTGTTGGCAGATATGGTAAAAATGCTTTGCTATGTGTGGATTTTCTTTTCACAGTTAAAACTTTGTTTTGATTCAGAAGGATAAAGACACTTTTTTTGTGTCCCTATGAGGGAAAATTTCAAAATCCATTGAGGCCTATAGTGAAACACCAAATATCCCACGATTAAAAACTACAAAGAAGCTATGTCTGAAAATGCTTTCCAATGTGTGATTTTTATCTCACAGAGTTAAACATTTCTTGTGATTCAGTAGGCTGGAAACTCTCCTTTTCTGGAATCTAAGAGGGGATATTACAGAGCAAATTGAGGCCTATAGTAAGAAACTGACTATCCTGTGATAAAAACTAGAAACAAACTATCAGTGAAATGCTTTGCAATGTCTGGATTTATCTCACAAAGCTAAATCTTTGTTTTAATTCAGCAGTTTAGAAACACTTTCACCATAGGATCTGCAAAGGGACATTTTGGAGCCCACTGATGCCTATAGAGAAAAATGGAATATCCCGTGATGAAAACTTAATGCAAGCTATCTATCAAAAGGCTTTGTGAGGCATGGAATTATCTCACAGACCCAACTTTTTGTTTTGATTCAGCACGTTAGAAACATGTTTTTTTTGTGAAATCTAAGATGAGACATTTTGAAGCACATTGAGGCCTGGAGTTTAAAACAAAATATCCGCGATAAAAACTAGAAACAAGCTATCTGTGAAAATGCTTTGTGATCTGTGAAATAATGTCACACAGTTAAACCTTTGTTTTAATTCAGCAATTTGGAAACACTCTTTCTGTAGAATCTACAAAGGGACATTTTGGAGCCCATGGAGGTCTATAGTGAAAAACAGAATATCTCACGATAAAAACCTGGAGTAAGCTATGTGTGAAAATGCTTTAGGATGTGTAGGCTCATCTCAAAGAGTTATACCTTTCTTTTGATTCAGCAGGTTGAAAACAGTCTTTTTGTAGTATCTACCAATAAACTTTTCAAAGCCCATTGAGGCCTACAGTGAAAAACAGAATATCCTGCGAAAAAAAACTAGAAGCTTGCTATCTGTGAATATGCTTTGTGATGTGTGGATTCATCTTACAAATTTAAACCTTTCTTTTGATTCCATAGGTTGGAAACACTCTTTTTGTTGAATCTAAAAAGAAAAAATGTCAGAGCTCACTGGGGCCTATAGTAAAACAAATAAACAAACACAAAAAACAAATATTACACGATGAAAACTAAAAACAAGCTATCAGTGAAAATGTTTTGTGATGTGTGGATTCTTCTCACAGAGTTAAACTTTTTTTTATTTAGCATTTTGGAAACACTCTTTTTGTAGAATCTTTGGAGGGACATTTCGGAGCCCTTTGAGGCATATAGTGAAAAACTGAATATCCCGTGATAGAACCTAGAAATAAGGTATCAGTGAAAATGGTTTGTGATGTGTTGATTCATCTCCTAGAGTTAAATTTTTGATTCAACAGGTTGAGAACACTTTTATTGTAGAATCTATGAAGAGCATTTTCAAAGACCTTTGAGGCCAATAATGAAAAATCGATTATCCTGCGGTAAAAACTAGACAGAAGATATCTGTCCAAATGCTTTGCAATGTTTGGATTCATCTCACAGAGTTAAACCACTGTTTTAATTCAGCAATTTGGAAACACTCTTTTTGTTGAATCTATGAATGGGAATTTCTGAGACCTTTGAGGTATATTGTAAAAAAGCAAATATCCCTCACACACAAAACCAGAAAACAGCTATCTGTGAAAATGACTGGCAGTGTCTGGATTCATCTCACAGAGTTAAACACTTGTTATCATTCAGCAGGCTAGAAACACGTTTTTCATAAATCTAAGGGAAGACATTTCGAACCCCTGAGGCCTATAGTGAGAAACAGAATATCCCGTGATAAAAACTACAAACAAGTTATCCAGGAAAATGCTTTGTGATATGTGAAATAATGTCACATATTTAAAACTTTGTTTTAATTTAGCAGTTTGGAAAAACTCTTTTTGTAGATTCTACATAAAAACATTTCAGAGCCCATTGAGGCCTATAGTGAAAGACCAAATATCCCATGAAAGATACTAGAAGCAAGCTATCTGTGAAAAAGCTTTGCAATGTGTGGATCCAACTCACAGAGTTAAAACTTTCTTCTGATTTGGCAGAATCAGAACACTCAGTTCAATCAAAATTGAAACACTCCTTTTCTAGAATGTACGAAGAAACATTTCAGAGCCCATTGAAACCTATAGTGAAAACCCTAATATCTCATGATAAAAAATGGAAACAACCTATCTGTAAAAATGCTTTGGGATGTGTGGATTCATCTCAAAGAATTAAACATTGTTTTCATTCAGCAGGTTGGATACACTCTCCTTGTACAATCTACACAAGGACATTTCAAAGTCCATTGAAACCTGTAGTGAAAAACTTAATGTTCTGTGATAAAAACTACAAAAAAGCTGTGTCTGAAAGTTATACGCAATGTGCGATTTCATCTCACAGAGTTAAATCTTTCTTGTGATTCAGCAGGTTGATGAAAAAACGATTATCCCACGATAACATCCAGAAACAAGTTATCAGTAAAAATTATTTGTGATGTGTGGATTCATCTCACAGAGTTAATCATTTTTTGATTAAGCAGATTGGAAACACTCTTTGTGTAGAATCTACAGAGGGACAGTTTGAAGCCCATTGAGGCCCATAGTGAAATACAAAATATCTCATGATAAAAGTAGAAACAAGCTGTCTTTGAAAATGCTTTGCAATGTGTGGGTGCATCTCACAGATTTAAACCTTTGCATTTATTCAGCAGGTTGAAAATTCTATTTTATAGAAAACATGAAGGGGTATTTCACACCCATTGATGCCTATAGTAAAAAACAGAATATTTCACAATAAAAACAATAAAAGTCTATAACTGAAAATGCTTTGTGATGTGTGGATTCATCTTCCAGAGTTAAATATTTGTTTTGATTCAGCAGGTTGGAAACACTCTTTATGTAGAATCTATGAAGAGCCATTTCAGAGCCCATTGAGACCTGCAGTGAAAGACCAAATATCTCCCCCCACCCAAAAAAAAAAAAAAAAAAAAAAAAAAAAAAAACAAGAAAAAAGCTATCTGTGAAAATGCCTTGCCATTGTGGATTCATGCCACAGAGTTAAACCAGTGTTTTAAAAATGCAGGTTGGAAACACTCTTTTTGCAGAATCTACAAAGAAATATTTCAAAGCCCATTGAAGCCTATAGTAAAAAACAAAATATGTGGAGAAAAAAACTACAAACAAGCTATCTGTGAAAATGCTTTCCAATGTGTAGATTCATATCATGGAGTTAAAGCTTTCTTTTGATTAAGCAGGTTGAAAGCAGTCTGTTTTTAGAATCTATGAGAAGACATTTTAGTGCCCATTGAGGCCTATGGTGAAAAACTGAATATCCTGTGATAAAAATGAGAAACAGGCTATCTGTGAAAATGATTTGCAATGCGTAGATTTAACTCACAGAGTTAAACCTTTGTTTTGATTTAGCTGGTTGGAAACACTCTTTTTGTGGAATCAATGAAGGGACAATATGGAGCCCCTGGAGAAGTATTTGGAAAAAGCGAGTATCCTACAATGAAAAGTAGAAATGTGAAAATGTTTTGCAATGTGTGGATCTATCTCACAGAGTTAAACCTTTGTTTTGATTCAGCAGGCTGGAAACCCTCTTTTTGCAGATTGTACAAAAGGACATTACAAAGCTCATTGAGACCTATAGTGAAAAGTTAAATATCCCACAAGGAAAACTAGAAACAAGCTATCTGTGAAAAGGTCTTGTGATTTGGGTAATCATCTCTCAGAGTTAAACATATGTTATTTTTTCAGCATGTAGAAAACACTATTTTTGTAGAATATAGGAAGGGACATTTCGGAGCCCATGGACAAGTACATTAAAACACTGAATATCCTGCAATAAAAACTACAGACAAGCTATCTGTGAAAATGCTTTGCCTTGTGTGGATTCCTTTCACAGAGTTAAACATTTGTTTTGATTCAGCAGGTTGGAAACACTCTTTTTGTAGAATCTACTAAGGGCCATTTCAGAGTCCATTGAGGACTACTACAGTGAAAGACCGAATATCCCATGATAAAAACTGGAAACAAGCTATCTGTGAAAATGCTTTGCAATGTGTGGATTCAACTCAAAGAGTTAAACATCTGTTTTAATTTGGCAGCTTTAAAATCTCTTTTTGCACAATCTACGAATAAACATTTCAAAACTCATTGAAACCTACAGTGAAAAACAAAATACGAGGAGATATAGACTAGAAACAAGCTATCTGTGAAAATCCTTTGGGATGTGTGTATTCATACCACAGAGTTAAACCTTTGTTTTGATTAAGCAAGTTGGAAACAGTCAGTTTGTAGAATCTAGGAGAAGATATTTTGGTGCCCATTGAGGCCTATAGTGAAAAACGAAATATCCCACAATAAAAACAAAACAAACAAACAAAACCAAGATATCTGTGAAAATATTTTGCAATGTGTGGATTCACCTCACTGAGTTAAATCTTTATTTTGATTCAGCACTTTGAAAACCCTCTTTTTGTACAATCTATGAGAGTCATTTGGGAGACTATTGAGGTCTATAGTGAAAAACGAAGTATCTCATGATAAAAGCTAGAAACTAGCAATCTGTGAAAGTGCTTTGCAATGTATGGATATATCTCACAGATTTAAACACTTGTTTTGATTCAGTAGGTCAGAAACACTCTTTTTGTAAAATCTACATAGGGACATTTCAGAGTACATGAAAGCCATTAGTGAAAAACTGAAAATCCCATGACAAAAACTAGTAAAAAGCTATCTGTGAAAATACTTTGTGATGTGTCAATTCATATCACAGAGTTAAACCTTGTTTTAATTCAGCAGGTTGAAACACTGTTTTTGTAGAAACTAAAATGGCACATTTTAGAGAACATTAAGGCCTAAAGTTAAAAACGTAATATCTCAAGATAAAAACTAGAAACAACCTATATATGAGAATGCTTTGTGGTGTGTGGATTCAACTCACAGGGTTAAACCTTTGTTTTTATTCAGCAGGTTGTAAATGCTGTCTTTGTAGAGTATATGAAGAGACATTTCAGAGCCCATCAAGAAGTATATGAAAAAACTGAACATCCTGCAATGAAAACTAGACACAAGCTATCTGTGAAAATTCCTTCCTATGTGTGGATTCCTCTCACAGTATAAAACCTTTGTTTTTATTCAGCAGGCCAAAATCACTCTTTTTGTAGAAAGTACAAAGGGACATTTTGGAGCCCATTGTGCCCTGTCACGAAAAACTGAGTATCGCATGATAAAAACTAGAAACAAGGCAACTGTGAAAATGTTTTATGATTTGTTATTTTATGTCACAGAGTTAAACCTTTGCTTTTATTCAGCAGTTTGAAAACACTCTTTTTGTAGACTCTATGAGGGGACATTTCAGAGCCTATTGAGGTCTATAGTGAAAAATCAAATATCCTGTGATAAAAACCGGAAACAAGCTATCTGTGAAAATGCTTTGAGATGTGTAGATTTATAGATTTATCTCACAGAATTAAAGGTTTGATTTATCAGGTTACAACACTCTATTTGTAGAATCTACGAGGGTACATTTCAGAGACCATTGAGGCCTACACTGAAAAAACTGAATATCCCATGATAAAAATTAGAAATAAGCTATTAGTAAAAATGCTTTGCAATGTGTGGACTTATCTCACAAAGTTAAACCATTGTTTTGACTTAACAGGTGAGAAACACTCTTTGTAGAATCTAAGAAGGCACATTTCAGAGCCCATTGAAGTCTAAAGTAAAACATCAAATATCCCACAATAAAAAATAGAAACAAGCTATACTGGAAAATGATGTGTGATGTGTAGATTCATTTCAGAGAATTAAACCTTTGCTTTGATTGAGCGGGATTGAAGAATCTACAAAGGGACACTTTGAAGCCCATTGAGGCCTATAGTCAAAAACCAATTATCCCATGATAAAAACTAGAAACAAGCTATCAGTGAAAATGCTTTGTGATGTGTGGATTTCTCGCACAGAGTTATACCTTTGTCTTGATTCAGTCAGTTGGATACAGTCTTTTCATAGAATCTAGGAAGGGACATTTCAGAGCCCATGGAGGAATATATTGAAAAACTGAATATCTCACGACAAAAAGTAAAAACAAGCTACTTGTGAAAATGCTTTGTGATGTGTCGATTCATCTCACAGTGTTAAGCCTTTATTTTTGTACAGCATTTTGGAAACACTCTTTTAGTAGAATCTAAGAGGGGACAATTCTGAGCCCATTGAGGCCTATTGTAAAATATCCAATATTCCGTGATCAAAACTAGAAACAAGCTATCTGTGAAAATGCTTGCAATGTGTGGATTCACCTCAAAGAGTTAAAGTTTTGTTTTTGTTCAGCAGGTTAGAAACATTCTTTTTGTAGAATCTACAAAGAGCATTTCTGAGCCCAGTGAAGACTATAGTGAAAAACCGAATATTCCACGATAAAAACTAGAGAAAAAAAACTGTGAAAATGCTTTGCGATATTTGAATTTATCTCACAACATTAAATATTTGTTTTGATTCAACAGTTTGGAAACTCCTTTTTTTTTGTACAATCTATGAGGAGGTATTTCAAAGCCCATTGAGGCTTATAGTAAAAAACCGAATATTCTGAGATAAAAACTATATGAAGCTGTCTCTGAAAATGATTTACGATGGGTGATTTCATCTCACAGAATTAAACCATTCTTTTGATTCAGCAGGATGGAAATATTCTTTTGGTAAAATCTTCAATAGGATATTTCAGAGCAAATTGATGCCTACAGTGAAAAACCGAATATCCAGCAATAATGCGCAGGATTCATCTTACAAAGTTAAACCTTTATTTTGCTTCAGATGCTTGAAAACTCAGTTTGTAGAATCTATGAGGGTACAATTTGAAGCCAATATCAGCCTGTAGTGAAAAACCAATATCCCACAATAAAAGTAAAAAAAGCTATTAGCTAGGCACGGTGGCTCATGCCTGTAATCTCAGGACTTTGGGAGGCTGAGGCAGGCGGATCACAAGGACAGGAGATCAAGACCATCCTGGCTAACACAGTGAAACCCGGTCTCTAATAAAAACACAAAAAATTAGCCAGGCGTGGTGGTGGGCACCTGTAGTCCCAACTAATTGGGCGGCTGAGGCAGGAGAATGGCGTGAACCCGGGAAGCCGAGATCACACCACTACACTCCAGCCTGGGCGACTGAGACTCCATCTAAAAAAAAAAAAAAAAACAAAAAAACTATCTGTGGAAATGCTCTGTGATGTGTGGATTTATCTCAAAAAGTTAAACATTGTTTTGATTCAGCAGGTTACAACACTCTTTTTGTGAAATCTACAGAGGAATCTTTCAAAGCCCATTGAAGCCTATAGTGAAAAATCAATATCCTGAGATAAAAACTAGAAACAAGCTATCGGGGAAAATGCTTTGCAATGTGAAGATTTGTCTCACAGAGATAAACCTTTATTTACATACAGCAGGTTGGGGGACACTCTTTTTGTAGAATTAAGAAGTTACAATTAAGACTCCATTGAAGCCTATAGTGAAAAACCCAATATCCAGTGATGAACCCTAGAAACAAGCTATTTGTGAAAATTCTTTGTGATATGTGATTTCATATCAAAGAGTTAAACCTTTATTTTTGTTCAGAAAAATGAAAAACTTTTTTTGTAGAATCTGCAAAGAGACATTTCTGAGCCCAATGAGGCCAATAGTAAAAAATCAAATGTCTCATCAAAAAAGCTAGAAACAAGCTATTTGTGTGATTTCCAATGTGTAGATTCATTTCACAGAGTTAAACCTTTGTTTTTATACAGGGAGTTGGGAACAGACTTTTAAAGAACCTATGAATGGACATTTCAGAGTTCACTGAGGCCTATACTGAAAAACCGAATATCCTGCGATAAAAACTAGGAAAAAACTGTCTGTGAAAATGCTTTGCGAAGTTTGGAGACACCTCACAGATTTAAACTGTTGTTTTGATTCAGCAGGTAGGAAACACTGGTTTTGTAAAATCTACTAGGAGACATTTCTGAGCCCGATGAGGCATATAGTGAAAAAATGAATATCATGCTTTAAAAACTAGAAACAAGTGATCTGAAAATATGCTTTGTGATGTGTGGATTCCTCTCAAAGAGTTACACATTTGCTTTGATTCAGCACTTTTAAAACACTGTTTTTTATTATTATTATTATACTTTAAGTTTTAGGGTACATGTGCACAATGTGCAGGTTAGTTACATATGTATACATGTGACATGCTGGTGCACTGCACCCACTAACTCATCATCTAGCATTAGGTATATCTCCCAATGCTATCTCTCTCTCCTCCCCCCACCCCACAACACTCCCCAGAGTGTGATGTTCCCCTTCCTGTGTCCATGTGTTCTCATTGTTCAATTCCCACATATGAGTGAGAATATGCGGTGTTTGGTTTTTTGTTCTTGCGATAGTTTACTGAGAATTATGATTTCCAATTTCATCCATGTCCCTACAAAGGACAAGAACTGGGTATATACCCAAAGGACTATAAATCATGCTGCTATAAAGACACATGCACACGTATGTTTATTGTGGCACTATTCACAATAGCAAAGACATGGAACCAACCCAAATATCCAACAGTGATAGACTGGATTAAGAAAATGTGGCACATATACACCATGGAATAGTATGCAGCCATAAAACACTCTTGTTATATAACCTACAAAGGGACATTTCGGAGTGCTTGAGGCCTTTAGTGAAAAACCGAATATCCCACAATAAAAATTAGAAACAAGCCATCTGTGAATATGCTTTGTGATGCCTGGATTTATCTCAGAGAGTTAAACCTTCCTTTTTATTCCATAGGTTGGAAACACTCATTTTGTGCAATCTACAAAGGGACATTTCAGAGCTCGTTGAGGCTAATATAGGAAAATCTAACATCCTGCGATAAATACTATAAAGAAGCTATTTCTGAAAATACTTTGTGATGTGCGATTTCATCTCAAAAGTTTTTTTGTAGAATCTACAAGGGGAGATTTCATAACCCATTGAAGCATACAGTGAAAAATCAAATATCTCTTGATAAAAACTCAAAGCAACCTATGTGTAAAAATTCTTTGCAATGGGTAGATTCATCTTACAAAGTTAAACCTGTGTTTTGCTTCAGCAGGTTGGAAACTCTTTGGTTGTTCAACCTACAAGGCAACAATTCATAGTCCATTGAGGCATTTAGTGAAAAACCAATAACCCATGGTAAAAATTAGAAACAAGCTATGGGTGAAAATGCTTTGTGATGTGTGGGTTCATCTCACAAAGTTAAAACTTTATTTTGATTCAACAGGTTGGAAACACTCTTTTTGTAGAATCTACAAAGGGACATTTCAGAGCCCATTGATGCTTACAGTGAAAAACCAAATACCCCAGGATAAAAACTAGAAACAGGCTATCTGTGAAAAAGCTTTGCATATCATCTCACAGAATTGAACATTTGTTTTGATTCAGCAGGTTGGAAATATTCTTTTTGTAGAATCTACAAGGGGAAATTTTGGAGCAAATTGAGGCCTATAGCATGAAATTGAATATTCTGCAATAAAAACTAGAGAAAATCTATCTATAAAAATGGTTTGTGATGTGTGGGTTCATCTCACAAAGTTAAATCTTTGTTTTCATTCAGCATGTTGGAAACACCTTTTTATAGAACCTATGAGGGGACATTTCATAGCCCATGGAGGCCTATAGTGAAAAACTGAATATTATATGATAGAAACTATAGAAGCTATATGTGAAAATGCTTTGCAATTTGCGGTTTCATCTCATACAGTTTAAAGTTTCTTTTGATTCAGCTAAGTTGGAAACACTCTTTTTGTAGAATGTATGAAGGGACATTTCGGAGCCCATTGAGGCCTATAGTGAAAAGTTGAATACTTCGTGATAAAAACTAGAAGCAAGCTATCTCTGAAATAGCTTTGCAATGTGGGGATTTATTTCACAGAGTTAAACTTTTGTTTCTACACAGTAGGTTCAAAACTCTCTTTTAGTAGAAGCTAAGAGGGGACAATTTAGAGCCCTTTGAGGCTTATAGTGAAAAATTCAAAGTTTTGTGATTAAAAACTAGATACAAATTATCTGTAAAAATGTTTGGTGATGTGAAAATTCATCTCACAGTGTTAAACATTTCTTTTGATTCAGTACATTGGCAAAAATTTGTGTAGACTGTACAAAGGGACATTTTGGAGCCCATTGAGACCAATATTGAAAAAATGAACATCCTGCTATAAAACTAGAGAAGTTCTTAGTGAAAATGCTTTCTGATGTGTGAATTCATCTTACAGATGTAAACCTTTGTTTTCATTCAGCCGGTTGGAAACACGCTTTTTATAGAGTTCAGGAGGGGATATTTCAGAGCCCATTGAAGCCTCTAGTTGAATACTAAGTATTTCTAGTGACATATGGTGTTGAGCATCTTTTCAGAGGTCTAAGAAATGTGCCAGGTATGGTGGCACACGCTTGTGGTCCCAGCTACTCAGGAAGCTGAGGTGCGAGAGCTACTTGAGCCCTGGAGGTTGGGGCTGCATTGAGCCATAATTGCACCACTGCACTCCAGCCTGAGTGACAGAGCTAAAACCTGTCTCAAAAAGATAAATAAGACCTGGTGCGATGGCTCATACCAGTAATCCAAGCACTTTGGGAGGGCAAGGTGGATGGATCACGAGGTCAGCAGATTAAGACCATCCTGGCTAACATGGTGAAACCCCATCTCTACTAAAAATACAAAAAGTTAGCTGGGCATGGTAGCGGGTGCCTGTAATTCCAGCTACTAGGGAGACTAAGGTGGCAGAATCGCTTGAAGCTGGGAGTCAGAGGTTGCAGTAAGCCAAGATCATGCTGTTGCACTCCAGCCTGGGCAACAGAGTGAGACTCCATCTCGAAAAATATATTAGAAAATAATAATTAACAAATAAATAATTGACTTAATTTTTAGAACAGTTGTAGGTGTACAGAAAAATAGAGCAGAAGGCATATTGAGCTCTAATATCTGCCTCACACCACAGTACACACACTTCCTATATTATCATCTTGTTACTGTGGTACATTTGTTATGCTTGATGAGCCAATATTGATATTATTAAGTTCATGGCTTATATTAAGATTCACTCTTTGTGTTCTACCATTTATGGGCTTCGACAAATGCTTAAGCACATATATCCACCATTATAGGGTCACACAGAAAAGTTTCACTGCCCTAAAAATCTTCTGTGTTCCACCTATTCATCCTTCCCTCTGCTCAAGCCCCTGGCAACTACTGAACTTTTTGTAATACCATCTGCCTAGTTTTGCCTTTTCTAGTATTCCATATAATTGGAACTCTACACTATGTGGCCTTTTTTCATTGGCTTCTTTCACTTAGAAATACGTGTTTAAGATTCCTCCATGTCTTGTCATGCCTTGGTAGTTCATTTCTTTTTATTCCTCAAGAATATTCCATTGTATGAATGCTTCACAGTTAGTTTATCCATTTCCCTATTGCAGGATATCTTGGTTACTTCCAATCTTTGTTGGTTATGTATAAGTTGCTATAAACATTCATGTGCAGAATTTGAGTGGGTATAAGTTTTCAAGTCATTTGAGTATATACCAAAGAATGCAATTGCCAGATCATATGGTAAGCATATGTTTAGTTTTGCAGGAATTTGCAAAACTGCCTTCCACAGTGGCTTTACCATTTTGCATTCCCAGCAGCAATCAATGAGAGTTCCTGTTGCTCCATATCCTCATCAGCATTTGTTGGTGTCAGCATTTGGATTTGAGCCAGTCTAATAGATGTGTAATGGTATCTCATCATTGTTTTAATTTGAATTCCCTAGTGACATATGGTGTTGAGCATGTTTTCAGATGCTTATTTTTGCTATCTATATAGCAAAGGGCAGATACAGACAGTGGACTGCAGGGAAAGAGCTTGCTATGATGATAGGAAGATGCAGACAGAGATGATCTCAGGGTTAACTGGGCATCAACTGTGCCTTCTCCTGTCACATAAAATGTGATCTACCTGAGTTTTGACTGGAAACACAGAATATCTGATTATCCATAAATATTTCTTACTGAGGCTTGAGGTTTATGTACGTTATGATCAAAAGGTGATATCACCCCAATATATAAGCAGGTTGGGGTACAACAGGGAATGACTGTTGGAGATGTTGAGAGTCTACATTGAATGGATGGTGTCACTGGCTGCCCATATATTTCTCATTATGGACTTTAACCTTTCATTTGCCACATGAAAGGCCACTGAGATAGGCTAAATCACATTTTTCTCTTGGGGATCTCTGTTACTGAGAAATTTTTGCGTTCTGGGCTACACTGGGTTCATAATCTGACTATATATATATATTGTGTGTATGTTTGTTCCTTCCCTAAAATGCTCAGTTCAGCTGCAGTTCTAGAGGCAAATACTACTAGGTTTCCATTTTAGAGAGTTGAAGATCTGAGGTCTGGAGAAGTTAGTGTGTAGAAAGTTATATTTAACAAGTGGCAAGACCATGTGGCCAGGTCAGATAAGCTGCCTTCAGATTTTACTCTTGAACTTCTACTGGATAATGTATTTTTGTTATAGAAAAGAAAAGAGTGAACTTAGATTTTTTTTTCAAAATCATGGACTGTAAGAGTTCTTTCAAGATATGATGAAAAGCAATAATTGTCTCATTTTACATTACCTTTAATTATTGCTCACCAATAATTGATTATTGAGGCAGCAACCTTTTACATTCCTCTCTGCTTTCTATGCATGAGGGGGCTTCACTGTAAATAAGAGGTCCAAGATTCAGAAATATCTTTAACTTGCAATACTTGATCACATATATCCATCTGAAAAACATTTTGCTCATTAGCCATATGGACTCATATGGCAAACTACAGCCAGAGACACAAAATGTGGAAAGAAGAAAGGGCTATCAGAACTCTCGTGTCTCCTTACATTTTGTATTTCTATTCATATGCATCTAGAATCAAAAGGAATTTGAGCAAATGGGAAATGCAAAGTCCTAATCAAAGCATACCCACATTTCGGTTATCTGCATTATTGCACATTTAAATTTATAATGCATACAAAGGATACAATTTAATAGGTATAAAAATGTTAAGTAAACTTTTCTCTCATGCACCCCAGTCACTCAGTAGCTCACTTTAGAGGTGACATTTTAATTTTGTTGTGCATACTTTCATAATTTCTCTCTCTCTCTCTCTCTCTCTCTCTCTCTCTCTCTCTCTATATATATATATATATATATATATATATATATATATATATATTTTTTTTTTTTTTTTTTTTTTTTTTTTGAGGTGGAGTCTCAGCCTGTCACCCAGGCTGGAGTGCAATGGTGAGATCTCATCTCACTGCAACATCTGCCTCCTATGTTCAAGCAATTCAACTGCCTGAGTAGCTAAGATTACAGGTGTGTACCACCACACCCGGCTAATATTTTTGTGTGTTTTTAGTGGAGACGAGGTTTCACCATGTTGGCCAGGCTGGTCTCAAACTCCTGACCTTGTGATCTGCCCGCCTCGGCCTCCCAAAGTTTTGGGACTACCATCGTGAACTATCACACCTGGCCAGTTTTTTCTCTTTAAAATAAATTTTATTTTGTATATTTAAGGTACACATATGATGTTATAGAATACATATACATAGTAAAAAGGTTACCATAGTGAAGCAAATTACCATATCTATCACAGATACCCACATTTTTTGGTGTGGCAAGGGAAGGTAAAATCTTATTTAGCAGGAATCCCATATACAGTATAATTTTATTACCTATAGTCCTCATGTTGTATATAGATGTATAGGATTGTTCATCCTACATATCTGCTACTGTGTATCTCTGACCCACATGTCCTTATTTCCTCCCTTCCTCTCTACCTGATAACCACTCTGTTGTTCTCTTTTTTTTTTTTAGGCAGAGTCTCACTCTGTTACCTCCCAAAAGTCCTGAGATTATAGGCGTGAGCCACCACACTTGGCTGCTTTCACCATTTCAGACTTAACTTGGAGAAGAACCTGAGGAAAAACATGACTTTAAAATGTTTATGAATGGAGAAATCTCTTTCCATTCACCGTCCTTTCCTCCATTTCATTCTTATTGTGAAATATGCAAACAAACATATGGATATATCAGTTATTAAATAAACGTCTGTGTGATACCTATCCAGGTGAAGAAATAGAGCACTATCATCACCAAGAAGTCCTCTGTATGCCCCTAACTCATCCTAAAGTCTTCCTTCCCTTGTTAGTAACAGATATAACAGATACCCACATTACCTGTGGATATCTGCGTTTCTCTCCTTGGTTCTGTCTATAATTTTATTATGTATTTATTCTTTCTTTTCTTTTTTTTTTTTTTTTTGGAGATGGAGCCTTGCTCTGTCACCCAGGCTGGAGAATAGTGGCATGATTTTGACTCATTGCAAACTCCAACTCCCAGATTCAAGTGATTCTCATGCCTCAACCTCCCAAATACCTGGGATTACTGGCATGGGCTATGTGTCACCACGCCTGGCTAATTTTTCTATTTTTAGTAGAGATGGGGTTTTACATGTTGGTCAGGCTGGTCTCGAACTCCTGACCTCAGTGCCTGGCCTTATTATGCATTTTTTAAAAGCCTAAAGTAAAGTCTGGTTTTGCCTGGTTTTTCTCTTACGTAATTGGAGTAAAAGTCTGTATCCTGCTGCATCTGGCTCCTTTTACTCAATATTAAGTATTTAATATTGACACTTAGCATTGTTTCTGCATTCTATTAAAACAGTACACCAGCCAGGCACGATGGCTCACGTCTATAATCCCAGCACTTTGGGAGGCCGAGGCAGGCAGATCACTTGAGTTCAGGAGTTCCAGACCACCCTAGCCAACATGGTGTAACCCCATCTCTACTAAAACTACAAAAATTAGGCCATGCGGTGGCTAATGCTTATCATCTCAGCACTTTGAGAGGCTGAGGCAGGTGGATCAGGAGGTCAGGAGATCGAGACCATCCTGGCGAACACGGTGAAACCAAATCTCTACTAAAAATACAAAAAATTAGCTGGGCATGGTGGCATGTTCCTGTAGTCCCAGCTACTCAGGAGGCTGAGGCAGGAGAATCAGCTGAACTTGGGAGGTGGTGGAGGTTGCAGTGAGCCAAGACTGCACCCTGTACTCCAACCTGGACAACAGAGTGAGACTAGGTCTCAAAAAAAAAAAAAAAAAAAAAAAAGGCCAGGCATGGTGGCTCCCACCTGTAATTCCAGCACTTTGGGAGGCTGACACAGGTGGATTACCTCAGGTCAGGAGTTTGAGACCAGCTTTACCAACAAGGTGAAACCCTGTCTCTACCAATAATATAAAAATTTGCTGGGAGTGGCAGCACCCATCAGTAAGACCAGCTACTCGGGAGGCTAAGACAGGAGAATTGCTTGAACCTGGGAGGCAGAGATTGCAGTGAGCCGAGATTGTGCCCTGCACTCCAACCTGGGGGACTGAGCAAGACCCCATCTCAAAAATAAAAATAAAAATAAAAATAAAAATAAAAATACAGTACACCAGTGTGTATCCCTTCATTGTTGGTGGACATGTGGGTTGTGTTCATTTTTGTCAGTTACAAATGATGCTGTTGTGAACATTTGTGTATTTCTATTTGGTTACCATTAGTGTGTATAGTGTGTATAGTGAACAGTATAAAACAAGAGGTGAAACCATAGGTTACAGGGTAAACATATCTTCCATTTTACTAGCTATTATTGGTTTTATCCCAATGTTAACACACCAACTGACAGTCTTACAATGTCTGATAATTCCCAAATCTTTGCATTCTTGTTGGTACTTAATTTTGTCAAAATTTTAATTTGAGTCTTTTGGTGGGTATGTGGCAATGATTGTGATATTAATTTACTGGGCCTTTTCTTCTCTGTAACTAGCCATGTCAAGATAGATGTGTGGTGTGGGAGGGGTAGGAGCCCCTAGAGGTGGCATGGGCTCTGGAATCCTTAATCATTCTATGTGAAAAAGTTGGTGAGGCAGTGATTTTTTTTTTTTTTTGAGACAGAGTTTTGCTCCTGTTGCCCAGGCTGGAGTGCAATGGCGCAATCTCGGCTCATTGCAACCTCCACCTCCCAGGTTCAAGTGATTCTCCTGCCTCAGCCTCCCAAGTAGCTGGGATTAGAGGTATGTGCCACCACAACAAGCTACTTTTTTGTATTTAGTAGAGATGGGGTTTCACCATGTTTGTCAGGTTGGTCTTGAACTCCTGACGTCAAGTGATCTACCCGCCTCAGCCTTCCAAAATGCTCATATTACAGGCATGCACCACTGCCCCTGAACTGTTTTCATTTTATTAATTGGCTGATTCATTCAGACACATAATTATCAAGTGAAATCTCACTATTTCCTTAGGATTTATCTTCAGTTTAGCTTAGAAAATCTATTCCTATTTTAAAACATATACAATTATTCTAGTATGGTGACACATGTCTGTAATCCCAGCTACTTGGGAGGCTGAGGCAGGAGTATCACTTGAACCTGGGAAACTGAGGTTGCAGTCAGTCAAAATCACCCCACTACATTCCAGCCTGGATGAGAGAGTGAGACTCCATCTCAAAAAACAAAACAAGAAGGTTTTCTCCAGATCATTTTTACATTTGATTATTCAGTCTGTTTTGACCATACCTTAAAGAATTCAGTAAATATAACTTCAATCCTACACACTATTAGTCAATGTACTTAACACGATTTACTGAATAAACCAGTCCATTCCCAACATCTTTTTACTGAAAATGCAAAAAACATTAGCCAGGCAGGTGGTGGGCACCTGTAGTCCCAGCTACTCGGGACGCTGAGGCAGGAGAATGGTGTGAACCCAGGAGGTGGAGCTTGCAGTGAGCCTAGATCACATCACTGCACTCCAGCCTGGGCAACAGAGCAAGACTCCGTCTCAAAAAAAAAAAAAGTAATTATATTTCCCAACATAAATGAATAGAGCCATTAAGGAAAATAACATGGAGATTCATCAGAAATTAAAAATAGAATTACTGTATGTTCCAGCAATCCCACCTGTGGGTATATAGCTAAAGGAATAGAAATCAGCATACTGAAGAGATAACTGCACTACCATATTCACTGCAGCAGTATCCATAATAGCTAAGATATGAAAGCAACCTAGGAGGCCAGCATTAGATGAATGGATAAAGAAAATGTGATATATATACACATACACACACAGACACACACACACATAAAGGAATACTATTCACTCTTTCTTTTATTTATTTTATTTTGAGATGTAGTTTCGCTCCTGATGCCCAGGCTGGAGTGCAATGGTGTGATCATGGCTCACCGCAACCTCCACCTCCCGGGTTCAAGTGATTCTCCTACCTCATCCTCCCCAGTAGCTGGGATTACAGGCATGCACCACCTAGCCTGGCTAATTTTGTACTTTTAGTAGAGACGGGGTTTTTCCATGTTGGTCAGGCTGGTCTCGAACTCCCCACCTCAGGTGATCCACCCGTCTCAGCCTCCCAAAGTGCTAGGATTACAGGCATGAGCCATCATACCCGATCTTACTATTTACTCTTTTTTTTTTCCTTTGAGATGGAGTTTCTGTCCTTTTGCCCAGGCTGCAGTGCAATGGTGGGATCTCAGCTCACTGCAACCTCTGCCTCCTGGGTTCAAACAATTCTCCTGTCTCAGCCTCCCAACTAGATGGGATTACAGGTGCCCACCACCATGCCCAACTAATTTTTGTATTTTTAGTAAAGAGGGGGTTTCACAATGTTGCTCAGACTTGTCTCGAACTTCTGAGCTTGAGTGATCCACCCATCTCAGCCTCCGAAAGTGCTGGGATTACAAGCGTGAGCCACAACACCCAGCCAAAAACACAGATTAGTGTATTAATAGTCTGAAGCACTGTAAAATACTGCTGAGAATACAGATCACTAATATCATCATCATAGAGCGCAAAATAAGTTCTGGTATTATTAAGAAAATCATAGCTCTGACTAAAACATACATGGAAAACACATTCTATTAGTAATTAAATTATACTAATACTATTGACAATCACTTTTATAGCTGTCAATGTAAACTTAAAGACAAGAAATAAATTCATCACCAGAAAACATAAAACAAGTACTTAGCCTTACTGCTGAGAAGCCTGTAGTTGCCTTTTACTGAACGACACCTCAGTTCTTGGGATAAAGTTTGAAACAGCAACTGGAAGGACAGCTTGAAGTTTAAAATGGTTTTATTTTTAGGGTTGTCATGTTATAAAAGCTATTCTCACATAGCTAAGCTGTTGGAAAGAGACCAGGTTTTGTGAAGGTTTTTCATCAGGTGTTTCATATTGTCCTCACTGCAACCTCAAACAATGGCAAATGCTTCGTAAGCCACTGTAATGCTAACTCAGCTGATAAAGTAATAAAACTCTGTTTCTTTAGGCCAGACGCAGTGGCTCACACCTATAATCCCAGCATTTTGGGAGACCGAGGTGGGCAGATCACAAGGTCAGGAGATTGAGACCATCATGGCTAACACGGTGAAAACCCGTCTCTACTAAAAATCCAAAACATTAGCTGGTCGTGGTGGCACGCGTCTGTAATCCCAGCTACTTGGGAGGCTGAGGCAGGAGAATCACTTGAGCCCGGGAGGCAGAGCTTGCAGTGAGCTGAGATTGCGCGACTGCACTCCAGCCTGGGTGACAGAGAGAGACTCCGTCTCAAAATAATAATAATTATAATGAATAAATAAAATAAAAAATAAAAAGATGGAAGAAACTCAGACTTTCAAAAAGTAAGGATCCCATTTTTACCTAAGATATTGGCTTTACTCTTAGGTTCCCTTGATTGACTTAGCCAATAATTTTTTTCTACCTATGTACACAAGAAAAATGAAATGAAGGGGTAGAACTCAAGAATCCCTGTGCATTTCTAAAAGCCAAATTTTACAACCACTGCAATATTACCATTTACTAACATTTTCTTTCTGTCTCAGCCAAAGGTAAGAGGCCTCTAACTGGGACAGGCATGGTGGCTCACGTCTGTAATCCCAGCAATTCGGGAGGCCCAGGTGTGTAGATCACTTGAGGTCAGGAGTTCAAGACGAGCCTGGCCAACATGGTGAAACCATGTCTCAACTAAAAATACAAAAATTAGCTGGGTATGGTGGTGGACACCTGTAATCACAGCTCCTTGGGAGGCTGAGGCAGGAGAATTTCTTGAACCCAGGAGGCAAAGGTTGCAGTGAGCCTAGATCATGCCCCTCTACTTCAGCCTGTGTGACACAGCAAGACTCCATCTCAAAAAAAATAAATAAATAAATAAAGAGAGAGAGAGTCCTCCAGCTGGATCCAAGTCAGTTAATTACCAGATTTAATCTGAACCTGTACCTAGTTCAGTTTCTGTCCTGACTTTCAAACTGTTTGGATCACAAATTTGTTCAGAGAAACTCAGAGAATTCCAAACACAAATCCATGGAGTTCTGAAATCTGAGAGAACTTACCCGTGATCCCCAGCCACTTTGAGAGATCAAGGGACAAAAGTAGGTCCTTGCAGGTACCTTGCTTGTTCACTCAGCAGTCCTGGGGATTGTTAAGGCTCTACTTCAGATCCCTCTTCTGACACCATCTGTTAAAAGAAAAACTTCAGCTGAATTAAATTTAAAGAAGTTCAATTCAGCAATCAAAAATTCATGAATAGAGCAGTCCCTGAAATCACAGCAGATTCAGAGAGATTTCAGCACAGCCATGTGGTGAAAGAGTTACAGACATAAAAAGGGAAATGAGGCACAGAAATTGGAGGTGAGGTACAGAAACAACTGAATTGGTTACAGCTTAGCATTTGCCTCAGTTGAACACAGTTTGAACACTCAGTAGTGTAAGAGTGGTTGAAGTATGGCTGCTGGGATTGGCCAACACTCAGGTATTGTTATAGGTGCATAATCTTAAGTTAGGTTTTTCAATCTTGTCTACCTATTAAGTTAGGTTGCAATTTGTCCACAAAGATTCAAATATAGAAGTATGGAGTCCTTCTCAGGCCATATTTAGTGTGTTTTAACACTCTAAAATGTATAAAATCAACCTGAACTCCAACCACCTTGGGAACATTTTCTCAGGGTCTCCTGAGGAGGGCTGTCTCACAGGCCATGGTCACTCATATTTCGCTCAGAATAAATCTCTCCAAATATTTTACAGAGTTTGACTCTTTTACTCAACACTGTTCAGTAACAAAAGAGAACAAACTATCAAGACACACAGCAACAGACAAATTTCAAAAACTTTACACTGAGTGAAAGAAGATAGACCCAAAGATTACATGTGCTATGGTTTCATTCATATGAAGTTCAAGAACTGGCAGAACTAACTTATGGTGACAGAAACCAAATCACCAGTTGCCTTAGGTTGCAGCAATACTGACTGGAAAGGGGCATGAGAGAAGTTTATGAGGTGAAAAAAATGTTTCGTGTTCAGATTAAGATGTGTGTCACATGGGTTTATACCTTTAATATGTGTATATTTCCCTCTATACATTTAATTCCTCATAAAATAAAATAAAATAAAACTGAAGAGAAGTAAATAAGAGTACAATTTCTTTATCTTACTCTAAAGAGAAGGTTTGCCTCCAAAAGAGAAGCCCGAGAGGTTTGCTTTGAGCTATAACAAAAATAAGGTTTCTGAAGAAAGAAGAGACATCAGACAAAAAGTGGTTTCTCTACGAATTAAAAAAGAAGCAGAAATAGACAAAGAAAAATTGTTCTTGTGAATTTAGTGCATAGCAAAGTATTATTGTTTTCAGTGCTGAGTCTCTTTTCCCCTAAAACCTGGATATGCTGTATTCTTTAAGCAAATTTCAAGAAAGAAGTGAAAAATCTCATAGGAAGAAAGAAAGGAAAATCACTCTTTGAATATACACTAAAACCTGAATGTACAAATGGTACCTATGAGTGTACTAGGGAAAATGCACAATACACTTAAGTTGTTTAATTTGAATACAATATAATAAAAGAGCAATTTAAAAGCTGTAGATAGTGTATAGAGAAACCAAAAGGGATAATTCTGTATGTACCCTGCAACTGTTACCTTCTCTAGGCCTGAAGGGATGAAGGGCAGTATTAGTTATAGAAACTTGGAGACCAAAATGTCATGTGGAGATAACCACCTTCAAGACAGTGATCCAGGACATTGGTGAGAGATAAAAGCATATGGCTTAGAGAAGGAAGTTATAGAAAGAAGATTATTAGTGGAGACAAGACAAGACAGTGGGGAAGGAAAATGTTGAAAACAAAGAGCAGGGAAGAGTACAATAGTATGTATGATGAGTTCAATCAGGCACTGGGGACAGGGAAGTGGGTGTGATTTTGTTTTATTTAACAACAAAATAGAGAAATGAAAGGCAATGAAGTGCACAGGAATAAGCTGGTTTCTACTGTGGGCAGCTAGGGTTCAGTCATGCTGGAGACTGTAAAAGATGTCGAACACAGCTTTATAATTGGCCACCTGAGGAATGAAGGAGCCATGTACATAGTAATTTCCTGATTTTATCTATGGACTAAAGGTTGTATTAACAGCAAAACCCACAGTTAATTTTGCACCATCCTAACACCTGGAGCCATTAACTTCCTGGCATTTCTTGTCTGCTAGGAACAATACTCAGAGAATGGCCTCAGGCTGAAAGATTTTGAGATAGAAAGCTCTTTAGAATATATGAGAACCATCAACTGAAGTTGCAGGTGATTTCCAGAGCAGCCTTTAGAGATAGGAGTGAAGAATGCATAGCTTCTGTTACAGGTAGTAATCAAGATACACAAACTCTTCTGTGGACTTCTAAGGTGTAGGAGTTGATAACTTCTGAAAGCAAAGAAAAATGGCATAAAAATAAAACAGAATGTGATAAGGAATGACTAGAGGATAGGCTATAGGAAAGAAGGAGAAAGAGGAAAGGTCAGTTTAGGTTCAGTTATTTAAGAAAATCTCTTTAAGGAGTAGGAATTTCAAACCAGTTTTGCAGAAACCTGGGGGTAGAACATTCCAAACAGAGTAAAATTGAAGAACAAAGACTCAGAGGCAGGCTCAATCTTGGCAATAGGCTCAACAATGAGACAAAAATAGCAGAATAATGAGGGGATACAGAGTGATAGGAGATGAAATGGGAGAGGGGTTCAGATTACATGAATTTTATAGGACTTGGTGATTTAGATTTTATTCCAGTATGTTGAGATTCCGCAGATCATTTTAAGCAAAAAAAAGGCATGATCTTATTTATATTTTAAAATCAGTTGGGTATCTCTGTATAATATGGATTTTTATGGGGCAAGGAGGAAGGGAGTTGTTACAGGTACTTGAGAGGAAAGATGATGTTTGCTTGACTAGGTCGGTAGCAATAGAGGTGGGAAAAAGCAAGCAGATCAGACTCACTTTTGGATCTTTAGTTCACTTAAAGTGTTGACACATTGGAGCATAAAAGATAAATATTTTACTTTTCATCCCTAAAAGGCAGAAAAATATAGGGGCAAAAAATGGAAAGTTGGAAGTTTAGGAAATGTGGTTTTTGACTTGACCTTTAACTCTTGCAGCTGTGTATGATCTTAGGGCGATCACAGAGCTGTTCTGGCTGTGGCTTCATTTCTGAAATGGCATTAACAATAACATTCCTGTAGCTGAGGTGTTAAAGATTAAAACTATAGAGGTAAAGCAGTCTTGAAAATTTCAATGTAATACCTAAATTTAAGGTATTATCGGGATGCCCTAAGTTGCTTTTAAAAAATGCTATGTTATTACATGCTACTCTTTGATAACCTTTTATTTATGATGATTAATGTAATTAGTGTGCTAATTTTCTACAGTTGCACCCTGGGGCAATCGTGCAACAGTTGTAATTTTAAAAGTTGGGCAAATAAGTAAATGTCAATCTGTAATAAAATCCAAATGAGTCTGTGATGAATGTTGATGGTGACAGGTAATTTACCTGATAAAATATTGTAACTGCCCAAATACCTTGGAATAGCTGATTTCTCAAAGTAAGTACCATGTTCTGCACAGTGAAGTGTCATCAGAGACAATTTTAACACACAGTGATCATTTTTAATTTGGTGATTTAAATATCATATTGATTAATGAAATAGTCGTATTTTAATTCAGACTGTTAAGTTCAAAAGAGAGTCATTTATCACATACAATAGAGTGCACTGTTGTGTAATAATCGCTCATTTCTTACCTGTTTTTAACTACCATTTAAAAAATATGATTCCTTCTAATAAAGATAAAATCTTATGGGATTAAGTTAAAAAGCAATTGGACCCAGTCTCCTACCTAGAACCTTATTGCTGTTAAGTCTAGGACATCTTTAAGAAGCCATCTTTACCTTGTTGTTTTCTGAGAGTCGTATGTTATGATTTCATTAGATCTGCAAACAAACAACAGAAGCATACTACTGGGATGGTATTCTAACTTTTGCCATGATATTGTTCATCAAATTGTTAACTTTTGGTTAACTGTGTGTTTCTTTGTTTGCTTTGCTTTCCAAGAATATGTTTCATAGATACTATTAGTTCAAGAAAGCTGGGGAAAAGAAAAAAAAAACAAAGGTTAAGATTCTGACTAGAGAATGAATTAGAGAAAGTCAAAGTAATTGCCTGGAAAAGATATATGGGAGGTTGGGTCAAGTTTAAAGTTTCAGAAGTAGACTTCGAGATAAGCATTTTTCTGGATATTTGGAATTATCTCCTAAAGATATTATTCTTTGAAATATGACCAAAAACATATAGCCAAAGATCAATTTTGTTTTGGCAAATCCAGTCCAAGAAAATAAGTTACCTAAAGGCTCAGAAGTGCTTTGTCCTAGTTCTTTCTCAGGCTTTTTAATCATTAATCACAACTCTGTACCAATTATTGGTAAGTAATATATATAGATTATCAGAGACTGCAGTTTCTGCCAGTGTGTCTGAATTAACCCTTTCAGTGTTTTGTGAACTTCAGTTGTAAAATATTAGCAGAATATAAAATAATTTTAAATTTTTAAAATTTTAAAGTAGGGAAACATTTGAGCAAACACTTCACCAAAGAAGATATGCAAATGGGCAGTAAGCATATGAAATGACCAACATTACTATTCACTAGAAAAATGTAAATTAAATCCACAATGAGATGCCCCTACACATATGACTAAATTGGCTAAAATTTAAAAATTATAGACAACTGAAAGTATCAAGTGATAGTGAGGATGTGGACCACAAAACTCTCAATTTGCTAGAGGGGATGCAAAATGATACAGCAACTTTGGAAAACAGTTTGGAAGTTTCTTATCATTTTAAACATTCTCTTATATACAACCCAGAAAGTCCTCTCTTAAGAATTTACCCCCAAAAAAGGGAGCAAGGGAAGTTCATGTAAATCCCTCTATGTAAATTATTCACAATACCTTAAACCTAGAAACAACTCAAATGTACATCAATCAGCTAGTGATAAACAAAGTTTTCTATATAGAGATAGTAGGTTAACATTAGCAATTTAAAAAGAAGAAACTTAAAATCCATGAAAGAACATAATTTTGCAAAATACATGAAAGGCAATACACTGTTTCACTCCATTTATGTGATATTCTGGTAAAGGCAAAAGTATAGAGACAAATCAGATCAGTGGTTGCCAGGGTATATAAGTAGGGGTTGGAGACTTAATACAAAGGAAATTGAGGGAATTTATGGGGGTGATGGGAGTATTCTGTATATTGATTGCAGTGGTAGTTATATGATTATATACATTAATCAATAATGATCAAACTGTATATCTAAGAAGGGTAAATTCTAATGAATGTAATTTATCAATAAACATCAAACTGGATGTCTAAGAAGAGTAAATTCTAATGAATGTAAATTATACATCAATACATGTGATTTTTTAAAATTTATTTAAGGATATTATGAACAAATTTTGGCAACGATTTGAAAATTTAGAAAAAAATGGACAAATTCTAAGAAAAATACTACTTACTAAAGCAGACACTGGAAAAAAACAAAATATGAGTAATCTGATTTACATTAATGAAATTAATTATTTAACATATTCAATTTTGGAATAGTCCATGCCAGGATTTGCCTGAAAATTCTTCTAAAGATTTAATAATGGAATAGTAATTCTTTTATAACACTTAGAGTTCTGTAACACTTAGTTTCTGTAATTGCAGAAACCCTTTCAACACATTTTATGATGGCCACATTATCTTGATAGGAAATCTTACAGGGCAGTACATGAAAGAAAAACACAATCCAGGCTTCATATACAAATTGAAGTAAAAATCTTATGTAAATATTTTTTAAACAAATTCAGTAGCATATTTTAAAAGTCTAATGTAGACTAACACACTTCCTTTAATTCCAGAAATGTAAGGATGTTTTAACGTTAAAAAATCAGTGAGTAGACTTTTTTGATTTTGATAATTATACTTTGGTTATAGGGAGATGTCCTTTTTTAGAAAGTCAAATTGATTCATTTGGGGGTATGTATTAGTCCGTTTTCATGCTGCTGATAAAGATAAACCCAAGACTGGGCAATTTACAAAAGAAAAGAGGTTTAATAGACTCACAGTTTCATGTAGCTAGGGAAGCCTCACAGTCACGGCAGAAGGTGAAAGCCGTGTCTAGCATGGTGGCAGACAAGAGAAGAGAGCTTGTGCAGGGAAATTCCCCTGTATAAAATCATCAGATCTTTTGAGACTTCTTTGCTATCATGAGAATCGCATGGGAAAGACGTTCCCCCATGATTCAATTACCTCTTACTGGGTCCCCTCCCACATATGTGGGAATTCAAGATGAGATTTGGGTGGGGACACAGCGAAACCCTAACAGGGTAGAAGGGCAAATTTGACATATTAGTCTTAAATAATTAAAAAAAGAGAAGAATGAGAGAGGAGGAAAATCATAAATAAATGGCGCAAAACATAAACAACTGGCGAATCTGAAAATCTCAGTAAAATACTTTGTGGTTTCTTATACTTTTCTTGCAAATTTCGTGTTTGAAAGGTTATCTTCCTTCTGCTCAAATTTGCCAAAAACATTTAAAAGTCTATTAGTGCAATCTACTACTGAATAAAAAGAAAAATCAGATGATTGTCTAAAATCTCTGATAATAGTATTTTTTAGAATTGAAAACCTCAGCAAACTGTAGCATTTTAATTGATAAACATAGTCTTCAAAAAAAGAAAAAAATCTGCAGCAAAATCCTTCATAATGTGAAATGTTAAACATTTTGTCTGCAAGATAAAATATGAGGCTAGATTACTTATTATCATTACTCCATCCCACTTTATTCTAATCCATTCATAGCCAGTGCAAGATGGCAAGGAGTAAAGAATAAAGACCAGAAAGGTAAAATGCCACTCACATTTTCACACTATACATTTGTGTTTATGAAATGTCCAAGATAATTTTCTACTTAATTATTAGAATTAATATCACAGTTTTGTGTGGTTTCTGATATAAGATCAATATTTTAAAATGTGTATTTCTTTACACAATAAATAGAAGATTAAAATATAAAAAAAGATACCCCTTTGAACAGCATCAAAACATCAAATACTTGAGATAAATTTAATTAAATATATGCAAAATCTCTACAGAACTATATAACTTTATTGGGTAACATTGAATGAAACCTAAATAAATCAAGAGATAGAATGTGTTCATAAATTGAAAACTTAAATTTATAAAGATGTCCATTTTCCTAAATTCATCTGTTGATTACAATATTAATCATAGTTCCAAGAGGCTTCTTTATCTTCAAAAATTGACATGTGACTTCTAGAATTTAGATGACAATGCAAAAAGCTAAGAACAGCTAACATCTCAAAAAAGAACAAAGTACTTACAGTCCCAGATATCAAGGCTATAATACAAACCATAGTAATGAAGAAAGGTAAATATCACAAGCATAGATAGACCAATATAACAGTATAGAATCTTGTATCGGTATGGAAAAAGGAATCTAGATTTTTACCTCCCTTCATTCACAAAACCATTTCATTCACATAGATCTAAACAGGAATGGAAAAGCAATAATTTTATAAGATAATAAAGAATATCTTCAGGTCCTGGAAAGGCAAAGGTTTCTTAAGCAGGATATGAAAAACATTAATGATTTCAACTGTATTAAAATTAAAAAGTGTTTTCTTCTCTAAAAAGGCACCAATAAGAGAGCAAAAGCAAGTGAAACTAGATTATTTGTGGTTTATATAATTGACAAATGGCTTATATGCAGAATACATAAAAATTCAAACAATAAGAAGAGAGGCCACTCAATAGGAATATGGGCGATATTTTGAAAAAGCAGTTTACAAAAGAGGTTATACAAATATCTAATAAACGTTTTAAAAGACATCCAACCTCACTTGTCCTTAAATAATAATTAAGTCCATCGGGAGAAATACTATACATTCACTGGAAAAGTTAAAAGATAGAAAATAATTTAAAGTGTTGATGTGGTTTTGAAGCAACTGGAAATCTCTTATGCTATCAGGATGAATTTCGAACAACCATTTTGGAAACAAATTTCATATTATCTACAACATTTGAACACATGCGTCCTGTATGATCCAATAATTTCATTTGTGGGTATGCATTCAACAGAATTGTATGCACATATGCAGTAATAGAAACTTATAACAATGTTCACAAATTGATTATTTAGCCACAGAAGGAAAGCAATGTCTAGCAAGACAGGAAAGAATAAATAGTGCTGTATGAATAGATTGTACTACTTTACATCTATCAAAATGAATATGATAAAGATACACACAATAACATCTGTGAATTTTGATCATAATTTTGAACAAGAGGAACAAATACAAAAACATTCTGTATTAGTCTATTTATAGGGGGTAAATTATTCTTTGCCATTTGACATCAGGAGAGTGGTTACATTTTGGGAGAAGGGAGAGGGAAATAATGTGTTTGGGGCATGAGGAGCCTCCTATGTGTCCTTTGAGTGTTTCTTGACCCAGGTTGATAGTTTCATGGGTGTGTTCACTCTGAACTAATTCCTTGAGCTATACAATTATGATTTGCACAATTCAATTATATTATATTTCAGTGGAAGCTTATGAAAGAGAAACATTGCTGCTAAAATTCATTAAGTGAAAGCTCATAGGGAAGTAGACTTTCATAGCATCCCATACTTGCAAAAGGGGCAATCTAACTGAAGGACGACATCAGTATCAGATATCAGATATCACACAAACCAATGATCACTTTTACTGTCTCAACTGTCGGTCAACCTGACATTACAAATTTTCTGATGTAGTACAACATGAGGTACAAAATTTCACCTGTGATTTATTCTAGTCAAGCGTGTTTAACTGGCAACCATTAAGGCATTAGGTGTAAATTTAGACACAGAAAACAATCAAGCAAAGCCTCAAGGTATGCCATTTTGTAGGTCAATTGGCCTCTTTCCTTCAACAAGTCAGTACCATTTAAAAAGGGAGGTAATTCTAGATTTAAAAAAAAAAATTAAGGGGTGGACAATTAGATATAATGAGCGGGACTGCACTGAGACTGGTTTAAAGAAATCAGCCCTAAAGAAAAATGTTTAATTAATTAAAGACATCTAAATACAGCATGGACATTATATATAATGAAAATGCATGAAAATAAAAATGTGAAAATTATTGACTGAAAAAGAGGTTACAAAGTGTATATTTGATGAAAAATAATATGTAAGGCTAGAGGCAAAGATACTAACAATGGTGCTTTCTTGTTTATAGGACTATTTCAACACATTTTGCTCCTCTGCATTTAAAAACTATTCTCTGATGCACATATACTCTTTCTTTAATAATAAAATTATGTTTAAATGATTCAACATTTCTGAATAGCAAATTACTATATATGTATACTTTAAAATAGACAATTTATAGGGCTATACCCAACTTGTGGCTGTGCACTGTCCAGTTACTATACATGTACTTCTTACCCTCCTTTTAATATCTAATTATAAAATTCTGAACTCATTGAGGGCTATTAGCACAGCTACAATTGTTTTTGCTTCTTCTAAGTTTGATATTTGTATGGTATTTTTAAAATTATATATTATGAACTTTTTGTATATATTTGAGTATTTTGATATTTTACCTATAAAAAAGTACAATGTTTACTGAACAAAATAACAGAATAATTATTTTTCAAAATGTAGAAATTAACAATTGCAGGCAATATCACTTCCCAGAAATAATTTCCCGTTTGATTACATTGTCATCATGGACTAAATTATACATTATTTTTACTTTTTGGAATATGCTAAGGTTTTCATTGAGGCCCAATACTTTGTCCACTTTGACTATTATTCCATGAGTATTTGAATAAATATACACATATTAGTTATCCTCCATTAATTGCTTATGTCCTCCTAAATCTCACTTATGTTTTTTCACTTGATCTTCCATCAGCTGAAAAAATAGTATTATAAATTGTATTTTAAAAAATGCTTCTGAAGTTTTTGCTTTCTGAATTTTGCATACATATTTAATAAATATTTATGACAGTTATTTATTTATAGTGACCTTTTATTGATACAAAGTGCCTTTGTCCTCCTTCATATTTTTTACCAACACGAATAAAACCTATTTGTTCTAAATATTGTGATCTTTGTCTTTTTTTTTAATTTCCATTTGCCTGTAATTCTTTTGCCCAAAGCTTCACTTTCAAGCTTTTGAGTTAATTTTTATTAGAGTTGTTGCTTGTATGCAATAAATCATTGGCTTTGTTACTGAATGTAATCCTGGAAGGAATCATGATCCCTCTCAGAGTTTCCACTGTCAAGAACTTAAAGAGTCTGTTTACGGAGATGTAGCTAGGGTTAAAAAAATAAGAGAGAAAGAGAGATGCAGAGGAACAAAGACATCAACCACAGGAAGCCATAAAGGGACAAGAGGAATGATAGCATTAACAGAGCTAAGTGAGTTCTGGAGCTGCAAGGAAAGGTCGCATAGCAGGAGTTCTAGTTATGGAGAGATTCAGCCCCTGGCAGAAGCACAGAACCAAAGCAGAGGGAATCAGGGAAGAAATAACCCATTCTCCTCTCCACCTAACTTGAACCCTAGAGGAGCCTCCCACTGAGTGCCTTCTGCTGAAATTCAGGCAACAAAGGAATCTGAATGATGTTGACTGCATGGCTCTGCATCCATGAGCACAGAACAAGTTAGACAAGGGAAGAAAATAAATCCATGAAGTCAATAAAAACTTACCAGAACATTACTCCGACTTCGCATTCATTCTTGCCTCTTGCTTAGATTAAGAAAATTGGATCTCCAGTACAGGGAAACCACAGTCCTAGCATAATTTAAATTGTGGGAGGGTGTCAGCAATTCAGTCTTATTCCCAACAGGATTATGAATGTTAATGTCACCCACTATTAGTACTCTTTATATGAGATAGCAAGGAGAGTGAGGGGAAAGAAATATTCAGTTAACATAAATATGTAAATTAGCTACTACTGTTTTCACTTTTGGTCATGAGCCTAAATTTTATCATCATAATTTCCTTTTTCTATTATCCATTCCATTTTCAAGCAAACTTTACTACTTCTGTAGTACAGGAATTATTGTCTCATGAGATGACCCAAATCTTCATTTCATAAGATCAAAGTCCCTAGTGATACTGTCTTTATTTGGTGGCTCTTTATGGGACATATAAGTGCTAAAAGGCTCCACAGCAGATCTCCTGGATTCCAGCTAGGCCTATTTGCCTAATTTTCCTCTGTTAATCAGAATTAATCAATCCATTCATTATAGTTAAACTCTTTATTGCCAGTTAGGTCAATGGCATTAGGAGCTAAAAATAGCAAGGGTGCAATTTCAGGTCCAAATTTAATGGAAACATAGCTATATTTCTTGAAAGAAATGTTCCTTCCTTGGAAAAGAGAACCTCCAAGGCTACTAAATACAAGATTCCAGGAAGGGAAATAAAATTCTGTAAATAGAATATTAGGTAAAATAATTCTACTTCTAAGTTCCTGATCCTACATATTCTGGCTTTTGGAAATATGGCTTATGTATTGGTTAATAGTTTAATCTGTTAGGACAGCACCACAATTTCAAACAATATTGTGTCACACCTGGCATTGAAACTGAGCCTTTAGGAAGCTGTTCCATCATTCTATCAGGCCAACTGCTTACTGGTGATGGGACATGTGGGGAAAGATGAATTTCATGGGCATGGATCTTTTGTAACAATTGTTTTGCTATAAAATGAGTTTCCTTGTCAAAGGCAATGTAGTATGGGATGTTATGGCAATGAATAAGGCATTCTATAAGGTGACATATGGTGACACTGGTAGAAGCATTGATGGCAGAGAAGAGAAACCCATTTCTAGAATGTGTATTTGGTTTTATGTGGACAAATGATTGCTTACTCCACAATATAAAGGATTCAATGTAATCACCCTGGCACCAGGTGCCTGGTCGGTGTCCCTATGAAATGGTGCCATATCAGGAACACATTGGCCCTTGGTATTGACAAGTTGGGCACTCAGTGATGGTAGACAGATCAGGGTTGCTAAAGGGTAGTCCATTGTGTTGAGTTCATGCATATTAACCATCCATGCAACTATGATTACTTTTTGCATGGTTCCACTAAGTAAGCACCAGTATCACTGGGAGAAAGCTTGATAGACATCCACAGGAAAGATCAGACACATAACCTACCTGATTGTTGAGCACCTTCTCTTTAGGGGATTCCCCTGGTGAATATGAATGAGAGTTGAGGAAAATTTGATAACTAAGCAGGAATAGCTAATAAAGGTCTGAACCACCTGCTCATTCAATATACTTGTGACTCCCCTTCCTGTTCAGCCTTAATGTCACCCATATCAATTCCATTTTATAATAACCTGCTAATTTCCAAGCACAATTTTAAGATTTGATAACATGGATAGCACCCAGTTGATTGTGAACCCTTCAAATCACATAGTTACATGGTGACAAGCCAGACTTCTTAAATAGATAAAAATATTTGGCAGAAGGGGACATAGTTTTGTTCCAAAATTATTAGTTAGGTGAACTATGATTGTCTTCTTGGGGTTACTTAGAAGAGTCAAACAGCATTACTCTAAGCCAGATACTTAGATCTACTGAGTCAAAATACCCACGCAGCAGAGGAGCCTACAGCACAGACTGAACCTGCTGCAAAGAGCTCTTTTTTCTAAATGGGTAGACTTGTGAATTAGCCTGTAATAGGTTTGAATGCACACAACTGTAGTCATGTTACTTCCAAAATCCAGAGAAGCCTCTCAGTCATTCTGCTCTTTCTGTGTGGTAGGCAGTACAAGGTTATGCCCTAAGAAAGAGATATTCTTACATACCCCATTTTGTAATAGCTTCTACATTAATTAGGACCCTTGTATAAAACAGAAATCTGCTTCAGGCTTGGTATGGTGGCTCACGCCTCTAATCCCAGCGTTTTGGGAGGCCAAGGTGGGAGATCACATGAGCCTAGGAGTTCAAGACCATCCTGGGCAACATAGGGAGACCCCATCACTATTATTAAAAAAGAAAGAAAGAAAAGAAAAATAAATCTGCTTCAATAGTCCACAATAGAGACTTTGGTGAATGGACTACTTACCTCAGTTAGAGCAGGATTTAAAACCCCAGCAAAGGTTGCTGTAATACTCAGACACCAGGAACAGTGAAACGCTGTTACCATCCCTAGACCTGAAGGGACAAGGTATATAATTTGCATTATTGAAGCCTAGAAAGATCTGTTGCTGTGGAGAAGAGTTATCTGGTAGAAACTACATTCATGCAGAATTAGGAAGAAAGCAGGGTATAGATATCAGGATTTCTCTTTCTCTCTTTCTGCCATCTGACCCACTGCCAGTGCCTTACATTAATCCAATTCAACTAGGAGCTAGCTGGCAGAGGAACCTGAATGATAAAGTCTTGGGAGTTCACCTCCTGGAGCACAGAACAGAGAACTGAAAGTCAGATAAAGGATTTGGGTGGAGCTAACAGAATTATCAACACATTTTTTCTTGTCCAATATAAGTCTTTTACTTTAATTATAAATTTTATTTCATTACATATAACAGTGAAGATATGTTTAGTTTGAGTTTTGTCATCTTATGTAATGATCTCTGCTTTGAATGTTTTCTTTTTTCACATTTTCCTATAATATGTTCTTTGTGTATATGTTTGCATTTGCCTTTCATAAGATTTTGTATGTTTGTGTATATGTATCAGTTATGATGATACACAGCAGAAAAAAATATTTTAAAATCTGCAAATATATATAAAGTAGAGACACACCAAATAAATATTTGGCCGAACACTGAAAGGCTGAGTATCAATGTCATTATTCACCTGAAGCTGAATATTACTATTGTAAAATGAATCCAAAGTTTTATGAAATTCAATTTTGATTGCAATATTTGTTACTGAAATTTCAGTAGTCAAAAATTTAAAGCTTGACGTTATTCAAGGACAGTAATTTCTTGGCATTGTCAGCTGCAAGATTGTTCCTGTGATCATCATAGCACGGGCAGATGCTAATATGTCTACCTTCCTATATCATACATAGGAGGAAGCTCCCACCAAATTATTACACTGTCTTCCTCTATAATATTAAAAAATAAAGTATATATATGAAGATTGTGGATCCTGAAAATGTAGTTGATGGTGACTATGCAGCTTCATTGAAGCAATACCCCAGCAACTGCAGCTATGCACACTGACTATTTTTAGAAGCAGAATTAGAATTGATGCCTTGAAATACATATTTTTATGCTTCTATTTTCCTGCACTTGTTCCATAATCACTTGAGAATATTTCTCTATAAACCTTAACTTTTAAATGTGGCAATGGAAAAGTGAAAATAGCTTTTAAGATAAAGCAATTGTCTCTGAATTTTCAGCTGCATCTAAACTTTCATGATGAAGCTAATTTCAGTACGTTCCCCAGTTTAGGATGACAGGAAGAGCTTTACCACAGGTATCTTATAAGAAATATGTGCACCCTAATGGCATATTGTATGGTGATTTCCTCAACAAATTATAGCAAACAAACTAGTTTATCTTTAAGCAACCACTGGATCTTAATAAGTCCTGAGATGGAAGCTGTGCCATTAAGGTTTGTTCAAGCAGCTACTTTAATATGTGACCACTACCAATTTACCTTGTGTAGGTTCATAACAAGCAGTTCCAAAGTTGTATGCCTGTCATGTAGTATATCTTTAGCTGAAGATTTTAAGATTTCACCAAGGTTAATTAACCCTTGAAAGTAAATACTCAGATATTAAAAATAAATCTAAAGGATCATGAAGTCATTGATACCATATAAGCTTAGAGATGTCAGAAATGTGGGTGGATTAGATCAGTTTTCTAATCTGAACTCCCAAAATATGAGGCAAAACTAAAGTTGAATGGAGAATTGGGCTAATGCAGAGGGTAAACATGCACACACGTGAGTGCGAGTGTGTGCTTGCATGAGATATGTACCCTCCGCGGCCCTGAGAAAGTAGTGGCAGAGATAGACTTCTCAGGGACACCTGGGCACTGCTCCTGCCTTTACACATTTGTCAGGTATATTGGCTCATGGGCTGATACTCTTTATCAGAGAAAGATTACTGGTTTCTGATATAAACAATGAAAGATCAGGTGATATATTATTGAAAGTTCACTGCCTATTATAATCTGAGTAATATAAAATAATAATGGCATATGGATGGCCTGATGGCAATATTAGTTTCTTCTACTAGGTAGGGAAGGAGGTGTCTTTCTCCTTTTGTGAATTTGGGCCTTTGTTGTAAATCGGGAGTTGACATATTTCTGAAACATTAGGGAAAACCACATCCAACCAGAATCTAACCTTTTAATCCATCCAAGAGTTTACTTAATTCACCCAATTAAAATATGGATTCTCTAAAATACCTATTCATAATCTCTTTAGTCCATATTTTCTCCATTATGTCCAACTCCCACCATTCAGCTGTTGATTTATGGTGAGAGCTATTTTTAATATTGTAGAATTAATTACTTAAAATATGTACTCCCTAACTCTACAGACTCATAAAATTCATGTTCACCTCTGCATTCTAGTGATCAGAAAAAATATGGGGCATATTTACAAATATAACTCCTTCACTGTCTCTTTTCAAAGGACATAACAGAGTGACAGAATTGAAGGAAGAGTGCAGATAATTTAAAAATATTTTATAGGGGGCCACGTCCTGAAAAGGAAGTCTAATATCCTACAGGAAGGCTCTGGCCCTAGGTTTTCATCTGTAAATCATAGTTATCTAACTCTTCTACTTACTAGAGGGAAAATTTTCTTTATTCATCTTGCTGTGTTATTCATCTTGGAAAGGGAAAGTAAAAGCTTGGTAATAACACCTAAGATTATGATAACCCACAGATTAGTATGATCATACAGGACAGTATGTTTCATAGTTTTACATTTCTTAAAATCTTGTCCACAAACAGAAAATATCTGATGTAAACAGTAGAAACCAATCTAAGAAGAAGAGAAAAGAAAAGCAACTAAAGATGCTTACCTTGAAAGAAAGAGGACTTAAGGCAACATTAGTTGTTTTCAAATATCTGAGGGCTTGCCAATGAATGACCAAGGGGAAAAATTTTATACAGCCATTAAGGATGGAGAAAGAAATGGTGAATACAAGTTTTAGGATGGCATATGTAAACTACTCTAAGGAATTAATAATTACTATCATACATGGATTGCTTTAAGGGATGGGGGACACAAACAGCAGGGTCAAAACAAAGTCTTATGGCCAGGAATACCGTAGAGAAAATATGGCCATTGAATGGGGAGTTAGACTAATTAAGCTCTATAGACCTTTTCAATTGTGATTAAAATTGTGTGAGTTATATGAAATTGTATGAGATAGTACTGACATTTAAGGATTATTTTATTATTTTCCTATTTGTCAGGCTAACAAGAGTGAAGGCAATGCATGATAAATGTGGTATAGTGATGATCAGTAGATTTGGAGTTGCAAACATGGAGCTTGAACTCAGAATTCAGTTCTATCACTGACATTAGTAAACTAGAATAAATAACTTATATGAGACTCAATTCATTTATTAAACATAATGATAATTATACTATATACCTCACAAGGTTATTATGTGAGTTAAATTAGGTAGCATGTATTCAGTACAATGTACTCTTAGAAATGGCCTAATATGTGCACTTGTAACTGTGACAAGCTGAGTCACAAAGAGAGGAAGTGGAAGTTGCAGCCTAAAATTTTGCTGGGTTTTTATGACACATACGGAGATAGCTATAATTCAACAGGGTAAATGCTATAACAGAGGTGAATTTAAAAATATCTTATGAACAAATGAAGTTGAGAAAGGTTGATTTTGGAGATGAATTAGAAAAACATGCAAAAAAGAAGTGCCATAAATCTGGCAAGACAAACAGTATTTAGGAAGTATGTAAAAATATACCAGAAATAGTCAGCATGAGCAAATGCATAGATATTGAATAAAAATCTGCCTAAGCCCTTTCTCTGAAAAAAATAAAATAAAATGTAAGCCCTTCATGGGGAACAACAAATAGTAAAAGCTGACTTGACTATGTATTTGAACACACCTGGTATGGTACATGGAAGGTAGCAGGTACACAATATGTGCTTTTTAAAAAACAGAGTGCTTGACTTCTGGTTCTGGCCATAATAAAATAATGGATTTCAGACTGAATCTTCTGCTGTAAACAACTATAAAACTAGACAAAATGTACCATGTGCCCATTTTAAAGCATTGTACAACACACAGCATAGAGTCATGATCCTTGAAGTCAACTCCACATTTAAAGCTGGCCTTTTATATAGGGATACTTCCAAACTGCAGGAAAGGAAAGAGGAGCCCAAATAGATCACAGCAATTTTTCTGAATGGAGAAACCGATTATAGGATGCAGCTGAGGTGGCTGGAATTTATGAAGAACATTCCAGAGAAGAAAGAGTCGAACTGAGAAAGAGATCTAAAAATCCACAAATGAGTCTTCTTGAATTTTTTGAGTGAACAACATATTATGCATGCACAGAGTAAGATTTCACAAGGCCACACAGAGAACAGTTTCTAAGGGGCCATGAGCGGAATGAGGCTTTCACTGGTTCATCAATGTTGAAAGCCATTAGAGTTTCAACCAGTCAAAGTGAAAAGACTCACTGAGCATCTCCCAGTGTTTAAATAATGACTCAGGAAAGTCAGCTTCCAAAGTAGGGCTCCTCTACTCCTATCAGAAGAAATACTCTTAAATCAGCCTTAAAAACCTAAAAATAAGCACCAACTGGATCAAACTAATGTGCCAGTAAATTAACTGTCTGCTCAAAATAAAATTCAACACACTTCTACCAAAGACAGAAGTCTAGAATCTAAATAATATAGTACGAAAAATGTCAAATATGAAACAAAAACAATTATTAAACATGCAAAAATAGCAGAAACCTATGAGAAAATTAGGAGAAAAATAAGCAATAGAAACAGAACTTAGATAGCCAGGATGTTGTTAAGAATAAAAACAAGCATTTTTAAGCTGGTATTAAAATATGTCCAAGGATTTAGAGGAAAATAAGAAAGACAGTGGAGAGACGTAGAATATCAACACAGTCATACAATTAAAATTCATAATTGTAGGTGGGAGAAAAGGCATGTAATAGAAAAGGGAATAATGATAAAAAATACTTCTGACTTCTCATCAGAACAAATATAAGCTAAATGAAAATCTAAAAATTATTTAAAGTATAGAGAAGAAATAATAAGTCATTTCAGAATGATATATCCAGTGAAAATAATCTTCAAAAGGCAAAAGTAACACTTTAATAAGGTTAAAATAATAGGTGAAAGAGTTTATTACCACAAGAAAAGCACTACAAGGAATGTTAAAGCATGCTCTTCAAGCACAAGAGTAGTGATAAAAAATATAAACTCACATCTACCAAAGATGTGGAGTGTTACTGGGGCACAAGAACAGATAGGTTTTCCTTAAGGGACAATGACAACAACAAAGAATCTAAAGTTTCAACAGGAAAATACGTAATTGTTCTTATCCTGAGATGATAGTTTTAATATCCCGATTTAGTAATTGTCGTATCTGATTAGCTTTGTCAGAAAAACTAACATATACAAGTTTTTTAACCCCAAAATATGAAGTCTTTTTATCACTTTATTGAGTCATGAGCTGCTATGGTTACCAAGAGAAAAAATTTTTGGAGCCCAAAGTCTTCTCAGGCTTATTTTTCTCTCCATTTCTTATTTCTGTACCTTTAAAGATATTACAAAGGAATTTAAGAGCACCCATTGTAGGGCAAAAGTGAAGAAAAAAATTAACTGTGGGTATATTATGATAAATTGCTTGTATCAGTTATGAAGCCAGGTATCTATAAGAATGTCCTTACCCAAACAACTGTATCTAGCATAAAAAAATCCTGGAAAAGTGGCTTATCAATTCCAAAAACTTATCTCTGCAAATATTATATAATGGAATTTGTTTTCCAGTATCTTATATAGCAATGTCATCAAGTTTATAAACTGGATAATCTGCTAATTATTTTATGAGAATGAAAGAAGTCATTTAAAGTAGCCACATTCAACTCTGAGTGTATATGTGCATATGCCCATCAAAATACAAGCAGGGCTCAATAGAGAGTTTATGTTTGTGGGCAGGTAATCTTAAAAAATATTTACCTAAAAATCAACAGCCCTTCATGCTAAAAACTCTCAATAAATTAGGTATTAATGGTACATATCTCAAAATAATAAGAGCTATTTATGACAAACCCAAACCCAATATCATATTGAATGGGCAAACACTGGAAGCATTCCCTTTGAAAACTGGCACAAGACAGGGATGCTCTCTATCACCACTCCTTTTCAACATAGTGTTGGAAGTTCTGGCCAGGGCAATCAAGCAGGAGAAGGAAATAAAGGGTATTCAATTAGGAAAAGAGAAAGTCAAATTGTCCCTGTTTGCAGATGACATGATTATATATCTAGAAAACCCCATCATCTCAGCCCAAAATCTCCTTAAGCTGATAAGCAACTTCATCAAAGTCTCAGGATACAAAATCAATGTGCAAAAATCACAAGCATTCTTATACACCAATAACAGTCAGAGAGCAAAATCATGAGTGAACTCCCATTCACAATTGCTTCAAAGAAAATAAAATACCTATGAATCCAACTTACAAGGGATGTGAAGGACCCTTCAAGGAGAACTATAAACCACTGCTCAATGAAATAAAAGAGGATACAAACAAATGGAAGAACATTCCATGCTCATGGATAAGAAGAATCAATATCATGAAAATGGCCATACTGCCCAAGGTAATTCATAGATTCAATGCCATCCCCATCATGCTACCAATGACTTTCTTCACAGAATTGGAAAAAACTACTTTAAAGTTCATATGGAACCAAAAAAGAGCCCACATTGCCAAGTCAATCCTAAGCCAAAAGAACAAAGCTGGAGGCATCACGCTACCTGACTTCAAACTGTACTACAAGGCTACAGTAACCAAAACAGCATGGTACTGGTACAAAAACAGAGATATAGACCAACGGAACAGAACAGAGCCCTCAGAAATAATGACACACATCTACAACTATCTGATATTTGACATATCTGACAAAAACAAGAAATGGGGAAAGGATTCCCTATTTAATAAATGCTGCTGGGAAAACTGGCTAGCCATATGTAGAAAGCTGAAACTGGATCCCTTCCTTACACCTTATACAAAAATTAATTCAAGATGGATTGAAGACTTAAATGTTAGACTAAAACCATAAAAACCCTAGAAGAAAACCTAGGCAATACCATTCAGGACATAGGCATGGGCAAGGACTTCATGTCTAAAACACCAAAAGCAATGGCAACAAAATCCAAAATTGACAAATGGGATCTAATTGAACAAAAGAGCTTCTGCACAGCAAAATAAACTACCATCAGAGTGAACAGGCAACCTACAGAATGGGAAAAAAAATTTGGAATCTACTCATCTGACAAAGGGCTTATATCCAGAATCTACAAAGAACTCAAACAAATTTACAAGGAAAAAAAACTAACAACCCCATCAACAAATGGACAAAGGATATGAACTGAACTTCTCAAAAGAAGACATTTATGCAGCCAAAAGACACATGAAAAAATGCTTATCATCACTGGCCATCAGAGAAATTTAAATCAAAACTACAATGAGATACCATCTCACACCAGTTAGAATGGTGATCATTAAGAAGTCATGCAACAACAGGTTCTGGAGAGGATATGGAGAAATAGGAACACTTTTACACTATTGGTGGAACTGTAAACTAGTTCAACCATTGTGGAAGTCAGTGTGGCGATTCCTCAGGGATCTAGAACTAGAACTACCATTTGACCCAGCCATCCCATTTCTGGGTATATACCCAAAGGATTATAAATCATGCTGCTATAAAGACACACGCACACGTATGTTTATTGTGGCACTATTCACAATAGCAAAGACTTGGAACCAAGCCTAATGTCCAACAATGATAGACTGGATTAAGAAAATGTGGCACATATACACCATGGAATACTATGCAGCCATTAAAAATGATGAGTTCATGTCCTTTGTAGGGACATGGATGAAGCTGTAAACCATCATTCTCAGCCAACTATCACAAGGACAAAAAACCAAACACCATATGTTCTCACTCATAGGTGGGAATTGAACAATGAGAACACTTGGACACAGGAATGGGAACATCACACACCAGGGCTTGTCGTGGGGTGGGGGGAGGGGGGAGGGATAGCATTAGGAGGTATACCTAATGCAAATGATGAGTTAATGGGCGCAGCACACCAACATGGCACATGTATACATATTTAACAAACCTGCACGTTGTGCACATGTACCCTAAAATTTAAATACAAAAATATATTTACCTAAAAATCAATAAGACTGCTTAAATAAATAAATTGCAAATTATTCTAAGAATACATGATTATGAAATACTGTCAAGCCTAACAGAAATAAAGATAACAGTATAGTTATTCTTGATAACCCCAAACTGAAGAGAACTCAAAGGCCCGCAAAATTGGAAAATGGGTTGTAAAAGCTGTGATATAGTCAAATAATTGAAAATTACTCAAAAGTACTACCAAAAAAGACACCAAAAGTATTTATTGTATGATCACACCCATATAAAGTTTCAGAAAGGGCAAGATCAATCTGTAGTGATAGAAACAAGAATATTGGCTGGAGGGTGACGGGAATTGACTGTTAAGTGGCATGAGAAATTTCTGGGGTAATGTCAATGTTCTATGGGCTTTGGGTGGCTCAATCATATATTTTTATCAAAAGTCATTGAATAATGACTTAAAAATTGTGCATTTCATCTGATCTAAAGTATACCAAAATTAAAAACAAGGAAAAATACTATCAAAAAATATGGAAAAGTAAACTTTCGCACGTTAGTCTCAAAAACCAATGATTTCTGATATTCTTTTTACTCTATCAATGTTTTTCATTTTGAATCATCTAGGTTTTTCTGTATTACTGTGCTTCAGCTCAGAGAGTGAATACTTAACAAAATACAGAGTATGAATTTCAGTGAAGTAATGGCCAAAAATAGGATATAAACAGATTATTGTGAGATTAGTATTTGCGGTATGCACAGTAGCCTCCCAAAGATGTCCACATACTCATTCCTGGAATCTGTGAATATGGCAAAATGGACTTTGCAGCTGTAACTAAGGTTACCAACCTTAAGATAGGGCAAGCATCTTTAAGTATCCAGGTGAACCCAATCTAATCATATAAACCTCCAAAAGCAGAGAACATACTTCAGCTGGAGAAAGAGAGGCTTGGCAGAGGGAGAAATTAGAAAGATTCTGCCTGAGAAGGTTCGGAGGCGTCATTGCTGGTTTTGCGATGTAGAGGCTCTCATAGGAAGACTGGAGACAGGTTACTAGGAGCTGACACCAGCAACCACCAGTTGACACATGCAAGAAAACAATGACGTACAACTGTACAAGATACTGGGAATGGTGATACAACTGCAAACAACTAAATTCTGACAACAACCTTAATAAATCTGGAAATGTACTTTTACCAGAGCTTCCCAATAAGATCCCTGTTGATTGTCACCTTCGTTTGGACCTTGCCGGATGTTGAACAGGGGAGCTGGTTGAGCCCACTGAGACTTCAGACCTGCAGAAGTGTGAGATAATAATTTATGTTGCTGAAGCCATTAATTTAGTTGAAATTGTCATGGTGCCAATATAAAACAAATACTTTATTTTATAATGAGACTGGATAACGAAGGGCTTGTGTTGATTTTCAAGGAGATTGAAAAATATATCTCATAAATCTAGTGAAAACATGAAAGTTCTTGGGAGGATGAAATTGATAATATCTTTTCTATTTGTATGAGTCCGTTTTTGCACTGCTGTCAAGAACTGCCTGAGACTGGGTAGTTTATAATGGAAAGAGGTTTAATTGACTCACAGTTCTGCATGTCTGGGGTGGCCTCAGGAAGCTGACAATCATGGCGGAAGGTGAAGAGGAAGCAGGCACCTTCTTCACAAGGTGGCAGAAGAGAGGGAAGTAGGAGCACAGGAAAAAACTGCCTCTTTTAAAACCAAAAGATTTCGTGAGACTCGCTATCATGAGAACAGCATGGGAGAAACCACCCACCCCCCCATAATCCTATCACTTCCCTCCCTCAACACGTGATAATGGGTGGGGACACAGAACCAAAGCATAGCAGCATTTATGTTAATTCTGCTACATCATTCCTGTTAGACCATCTCTCTCCGTTTTGTTTTCCTAGGATAGTCCATTGCTTGTATTAAAATCATTTCTAGGTATAAACTTTATTCTCAGTAAAACCTTGAAAATGTGAATATACTTGGCATTTTTACTTCATCAATATGTAGGAAAATTCTGTACAAAGCCAAAATTCTTCTTTTGATTGCCCTCATAACATAGGAAAAAAAGATGGAAATATAAATATTTTATATGAAAACTAAAATTTTCTGATATGGCCTCAAGGCATGTTGGTCAGCCTCATCCCTTTCACAAACTGGCATCAGTGACTGTTACTCTCAGTTTCCTTCCTTGTTTCCTCACATATACTCTCCCTATTCCTCCCCCAAAATCATTACTTCTAGTTAAAATAGATCTTTCTTTCCATTTTTCATTCTTGTCACCATTTTCAGGAAAGAGCTATTACCCCTTTCTTTGATCAAAGGCAACTCCCCAAGTACAATGTTTTTTTCTTGCCTGAGGAAGGTTATTTTTTCATGTTGGAAAGAAATGAAAGATTAGAAACCAAACCACACACAAACTTGCACACTGCAGTCACCAAGGAGGTAATTTTCCACCATTACTTCAGACAAATGCGTGTGTGCATTTTTAATCTAGTCTGACCTCAGAGCCTCTAAATAGATGAAGAAATACTTGTGTAATTGAAAAAAAAACTGTTCTCTCAGCCATTATTCAAAGGACACTAACTCAAATAACAAATCTTAAAGCTCTTTAAAATGTAAAAACATTTTCTTGGTGGAACATCAAATGATAGCTTATTCACATTAAAATCCATAATTACAACAAGCCCCAGTGAACAGATCTGGCTATTTTTCATTGAAAACAAAAAAGTATAACAATCATAGAACACCTGAATTTATTGGCTTTAATTAAGCGTGTTTGTTCTAAACTGATGTAATTTAGGAACAATCCATAGAAAAGAAAATATATTGTATATTCAGTACTGATTTGCCTGTCCATATTAGAATATTTACAGTCTAGTGAAAATTAGCCTGATGTTACATACAGAAAAGTATAAAACCTCTAATAACATTATTTTTTTTCATTTAAAGGCAAAGGTTTAAAATAAACTTTATATATTATAAAGTCAGCTAAAGTTATTTTTATTTCTCTTAACTAAATACATTGAGATTTTAGAAGCAAAAATATAAATTTCTGAAATTGTATACATTATCAAAACAATTTCACTGAAGAATGGGGTTTAGATCAGGAATCAGAGTGATTCTAAGAAGCCTATTGATTACTTTCCTCCACATATTATAAGTAACTAATAAACTATTTTTGCTACGTTTGAAATATTAAACTAATATTAAACATAACTGAACCAACTCAATGGATGAACTCTAGCATTGAGGTAGGTCTATGTAACATATTTGTGATTATAGCAATAAAAGAAATGCATTTCAATTTTTTTCAGTTTCTACTATATACTAGCTATGGATTAGCTTTGTAGTAGTAAGTTGAAGAATGGGAAGCAGAAATAGAGTTGAAAAGATAAATGAGATTTATTAAGTCCATGCTGTGGACTAGGTGTATGATGGACTTTCTGTACATATTTATTTATACAAGAATCTTATAAATTAAAAATTATCCTCACTTAATATATAAGAAAATTGAGACTCAGACAAGTAAAATAACTCATTCAAGGTTACATAAGTGGGTTTTCAATCCTTATTTGTCTAGTTCCAGTGTCCATGACCTGGCTCTCTGGAATGGAAACAAACTGAGGAAGAGAAAAAGTAAAATAAGCAGTGAAGGCAGAAATTGCTAAACTCCGTAGTGCTATCAGGGGCACATGGGCATCTTCCTGGAACTCGCACTACGAGAGTATAGCCCTCTCCCTACATCAACACCATTTCTTCGTGGTGAGCTATAGAGAAATTTAGAAGGCAAGACCTCAACTGCCTAAGTGGACATAAATGTAAAATTTTTAGGTCTTGTGCAGGTCCTGACTCAGAGTGAAGAACGTGAAGCCCTTTCTGCCTCAGGTGAGGAACCTAAATGGATGTCAAATAAACTCAGTAATCAAGGTAAATGATAATGTAATATTTTATTAAATCAAAATTAATGCAGGAAATACGTGATGAACAACATATTAACATTTTAAATAAAGACAAAATATTACTGAGGTTTCTTTTGCTTCATGCTTCCATGTGGCTTGGCAATGGTGCTGTGTTGTTACTGATCCTATCAGACCACTGAGCATCTGCTAGAGATGGTAACAATAGAGTCAAAGGGTGAGTCAAAGAGTGCATGCATTTAAAATTCAGATAATAATCATATTTAATGACTACAGCTTGAGGTTTTAAAATTTCTTCATATCTGTAGGTGTAGTATCTTTATCTATTTTAAAAATTTTCTTCTTTCTTTCTACTTTTCTTGGAAATTGTCAAAAGTGTATTGTATTAGCGTTTTCAGATATCATACATTGAAAATATTTATCCTATTTTTTGTTTTTATTTAATAATTTTATGTTCATCAATTCCACCTATATCTTTTCTGCTAGTTAGTCTACACATTAGTTTTCAACTAGAAGTCGTTTTTTAAATGTCCAAGTCCTCTCACATTTTGTATGTGTATTATAGTTTTTCATATTCTATTTGTGTTGAAAACTCTTATTCCAAGAGCCTTTACTCAGTAATACTGGATGATGGATAAATTGTGTTGTGGGTGTTCCCATGGATTTTTTTTTGCATGTGTGAGTTTCCTATTCCTCTGGGGGGAGTGTAGCTATGTATGTTAATAAATGAAAATGATTCAAGTCATTATAAACAAGATAACATGTGAAGAGTGCAGGCAATGATATCTTGAAAAAGAATAATTGGCACTGACATTGATAACTCAAATTGGAATAAAAGAGAATTAAACGTTCACTATCATGTAGTGATTCCTTAAATTAAGGAAGGATTTGGATGTAGATTTATAGAGGAAACATGTTACCAGGACATTCTTAAGAAAATAAAAGGATGGCTAAAAAAATTATGTAAAACCTGAAGGGTCATTCAATCAACAAATAGACATAAGAGAACTCAGATAACATCACCCCAAAAATCTAGCCAAAGAATGTGCCAAAATAAGGAGAAAGTAAAAAGAGACATTTTATGAAATGACAGATGAACAATAAGTCCTATAAATACAGCACATAGATTAAGCAACTAAAGAAAACTTCTTGCAGACTATAGAAATAAAGGCATAAATTTTAGTAAAACAAGAATAATGCAATTTACAAAACTCCAGAGGTTGCAGAAGAGAATTAAAAAAAACTGTCCTCACATAACCTCTTATAAAAAGATGTAGACTGGAGCAGTCTAAAAGTAAAATCTGAAGGTAAAATAGAAACCACAGGAACTTCTACCAGTAACTGCAGATTTGTAATTGATATCAACTCTCCCATGGAACACAACAACAAAATTTTCTTTGAGACACTAAGTGTTAACAAAGCCATGGAAAATTGCAAAACCCAGATCCAAGAGATGAGCTTGGCATTGAGCATCACTTTTCAGCTCAAGATTTTTACTGATTCTAGGAAGTTAAAAAATACATTGCAAAACTAAGGAATACTTTTGGCAGTGAAATGCATGTAACTGTGAGAGTGCAAGGGAATGTGGTGGGGAGGATTGGAGCACAGTACCCTCCAGGCTTTGAGTTGGAGACAAGGACTACATTCGATAAAGACCAGCCCACTCAGGGACATAAACCTAGTGTCTGATTATCTGTACACTTATGGATGCATTAAAGTAACCTGCTAGTGTCCTTAGCTTACTGCAAAGAGCAAATGTAATTCCTCTCTAGAGAATGTTAACATTTCCAGGGCCTCAAATTACTCTCAGTTTTTCATACATAATGCCTAGTACTCAATTTAAAAATACATGTAAATAAATACATGACGAGATATGATGAAGAAATTATTGAAAAAAATGAGGATGATGTGGTTTGGCACTCTTTCCCTGCCCAAATCTCATCTTTAATTGTAATCTCCACGTGTTGAAGGAGGGACTTGGTGGCAGGTAATTGGATCATGGGGGTGGTTTCCTCCATGCTATCCCGTGATAGTGAGGGAGTTGTCATGAGATCTGATGGTTTTTAAAGTGGCAGATTTGTCCAGTGCAATGGATCACACCTGTAATCCCAGCACTTAGGGAGGCTGAGGTGGGTGGATCACTTCAGATCAGGAGTTCAAAACCCACTGGCCAACATGGCAAAACCCCATCACTACTAAAAATACAAAAAAATTAGCTGGGTATAGTGGCACACATCTGTAATCTCAGCTACTCAGGAGGTTGAGACAGGGGAATCACTTGAACCTGGGAGGTGGAGGTTGCAGTGAGCCGAGATCACACCACTGCACTCCAGTATGGGCTACACAGCAAGACTCTGTCTTAAAAAAAAAAAAGTGGCAGTTTTTCCTGCTCTCTCTCCTGCTGCCATGTAAGATGTGCATTGCTTCTCCTTTATCTTTTGTCATGATTGTATGTTTCCTGAGAACTCCCCAGCCATGCAGATCTGTGAATCAAGAATATCATTTTTATTTATAAATTACCCAGTCTCAGTTAGTATCTTTGTAGTAATTTGAAAACTGACTAATACAACAGACATATAAGAGAAAAATCAACAACAAAAAAAAAGTTTTGCCTGGAAAAAAATAATGAACCTCTTTATAATTGAATAATTATAGTACAGGTGTTCCTCAACTTATGATAGGGTTACATCCTGATAAACCCAATGTAATTGAAAATATCATAAGTAGAAAATGCATTTAGTATACCCAACCTGCCAAACATCATCGGTTAGCCTAATCTACCTTAAACATGCTCAGTGCACTAACATTAGCCTACAGTTGGGAAAAATTATCTAACAGAAAGCCTACTTTATCAGAAAGTGTTGAATCTCTCATGTAGTGTATTGAATATGGTACATTATTTTGAAATTGTGATTGTTTTGAAGTATTGTAAAGTCAAAAAATTGTAAGTCAAACCATCATTAAGTCAAGGACTCTCCGTATATTTAAATTCTTTTATACAGACACACACACACATACACACACATACATACACACGGAGAAAGAGGGGAAGAGAGTGACAGAAAGATAAACAGTTAGACAGAAAGAAAGACCAGAAATTACCAGTGTGAGAAATTAATAAAGGAGAGGACATCACTACAGTTTCTATAGACATCAAAACAAGTATAAAAGATTTATAGTGGCCCCAGCTAGTGGGATAAGGCAATTAAAAGAAGTTAAATTTGTAAATGTTGAAAAGGAAAGTAAATGCTATTTTGGAGATGGCATGGCTATGTACAAATATCAAAAATTATCTACAAACAATTAGAAATAAAAGCCAGTTTGGTAAGGTGACTGGATTTATAACAAATGCACAAAAAGCAAAAATCAATTGTATACCTATTACAATTTTGTTTGATAAAGTAGAAATAATTCATCACAAACAAGGACAGAAAAGAAAGGGAATAAACACATCCTTAAATTGTGTACCCTAGATGCCTCTCTTGCTTCACCCAAGGCTCAGTCCTGATGAAAATGGCTCATTATTTGTTAGAGAAATTTAAATTAAAACTGTAATGACATACCATTCTACACATACTAGTTTGTCTAGTTTGTCTAACATTAAAAGACTAACAATAACGATTACAAATGAAGATACAGAACAAGGGAAATTCTCATAGACTGTTGGAGAAAAAGTAAATGGATGCAGCTACTCGCTTACATATTTATACCACAAGATACAAGCAAGGATGTACATAGCAGCATTATTTGTTTAAAAAAAGACGAATTTTTAAAATTGCATGTTGAATATTATTCAGCAATGAAAATGAACAAATTAGAACTACATGTAACAACATAGGTCAAACTCACAATGCATAATGTTAAGCAGTAAAAGAAAATAAATGAGTGTGTACTTGTTTCCTGGGGCTGTTGTAACAACTTATCACAAACTTAGTGATTTTAAACAAGATAAATTCATTCTCTCTCAGTTAGAGAGACCAGAAGTACAACATTTGTTTCACTGACCTAAAGTCAAGATGGCAGAAGGGCTGTATTCTCAATGGAGACTCCAAAAGATAATCCATTCATGGCCTCTTCCATCCTGTGGGTCTTCCTCTATTTTCAAAGCCAGCATCACAGCATCTTCAAACTTCTCTGTTTCTATTGTCCCATTGCCTTCTGCTCCCTCTGTCTCCTTTTTACAAGGACATTTGTGATGGCATTTAGGGCTCACTCAGATAAGCCAGGATGATCTCCTCTCAAATTTCTTTTTTCTTTCTTCTTCTTCTTTTTTTTTTTTTTTTTTTTTTTTTTTTTTTTTTTTTGAGACAGAGTCTTGCTCTGCCACCCAGGCTGGAGTGCAATGGTGCGATCTTGGCTTACTGCAACCTCTGCCTCCTGTGTTCAAGTGATTCTCCCTGCCTCAGGCTCTCAAGTAGCTGGGATTACAGGTGCCACCACCACCACACCCAGCTAACTTTTGTATTTTTGGCAGATACGGGCTTTTCACCATGTTGACCAGGCTGGTCTCGAACTCCTGACCTCAGGTGAATCCACCTGCCTCGGCCTTTCAAAGTGCTGGGATTACAGACATGAGCCACTGCGCCTGGCCTCAAATATCTTAAATACATCTGCAAATGCCCTACTTCAAATAAAGTCAGGCTCCATGGATTAAGACTTGGACATGCCTTTCAGAGGCATTATTGGCCTACCACAGAGTGGGTATATAAATATCAAAACATTAAGAAAAGTAAACTCCAAATAGTGGGTATCTTTGAAGACAAATCAAGGAGTAGTAATCTATTTTGCAAAAAAAAAAGTTATTCTGAGTGGTAGTTGTGGAGGTGTTTGTTTTGTGATAATTCCCTAATGTGTATATATTTTCTTAGGATTTGACATTACATATATGTGTTTATGCATAAATTATTCATAGACATACATGTAATTAAAATTTAAGAAATAAATTATAATGATGCAATCTTCTAATGTTTTTTAAATTTTTTTAAAAAATGTGACCTTTTAGGAAATAATGCAGTCACATAGATAAATTTAATACTTCCAATTAAAAAAGCAGATATAGTATTCTTTTATCATAAAATTATTTTTTATCTATTCTGCTAGCTCTCTCTCTCACTATACATATAGTTATGTATCTTACATCTATATCCAAACTTTTTGGAGTATGAAATTTGAAACACATATAACTATTTTACAGCTATTATAATAATTGTATGTGCTTATTCCTTTTAAACTTGAAAAATATCAAAAAGTGCAAAGAAGAAACAAAAAAAAATCACCCAAATGAATACCACCAACAGTTAACATTGGTTGTTTCTGAAAATTTGGGGTGATTTATTTTGTTTTCTTTGTACTCTTTGGCATGAAGTATTTTTATAAAATAAGCAAAGTCATTATTATAAAAATCCCTGAATAAAACCTATGTAGAAATTGTAATAATGAAGATAACAAAGAGAGGAATCACTGCTTACATAGCCATTTATTTAGTGCTTCCCATCTACTATGCATTATTCAGTGCGTATTACATTTTGTTTTTCATTATCACAATAATTTTGCAAGATATATACACATATATAAAACAGAATATTGTGTCTGTATTTATTATAGATGATAAAACAGAGGTGTTTTGTGAGTTTAAGAGACAGCCAGCAAACAATATTGCTGCGTTATGGTACCCAAGAGTTCTGGCTTCAGTGTGAAAAAAAATATTCAATGTTTTCCACCGCCATTCAGGATGATTCTAATTCAATTATGACTGAATCAGATGGATGTATTGACAATTCAGAAGTGCAGATTGTTCAATGAAACCATGTATGTGTGCGTGCTTGTTTTCTCCTCAAATCTTGCTCCCCTTCCTCATTCTTTCAACCATCACCTAACACCTCCCTCAAAACACACAATACACACAAACACAACTAATGCCTTGAGAGCTGAGGCCATAGCTGACACATATTTCAACACCAGAGTGTAGCACAGAATCTAGAACTAAAAGTTTCCCCCAGAGTGTTTACTATAAATAAACTAGTGATGAGACTTTAGCTTAAATCCATGACCATCAACTCTGCTGCCACACTTCCAAGCAAGAGTTAGGTCCGTCATTGAAGCTATGTAGTTGTGATTTATGCAGAAACTTTGTAAAGAAAACCAGAGCTTGGGTAGTGGGTAGCAGTAATCTCTTCTCAAATTCCCCTATGAAGAGATAAACTCATTGCAGTCTATAGCTACCAAACACAGAGGTCACAAGACTTCTGTGACAAGAACTCCCACTGCTATGGTCTTCCACAAATAATGCTAATGGAAACAGAGAGGAAAAACAATTATCAAACAATCAAATAAAGGTTTGACTGCATGCTCTTTTTCAAGATTTTACATCTGAGGATATCAGACAGGAAAGCAATTCAGAGGTGCAAATTGCCTAATGTGCAAATCAATAACATGCTGGTCTAATGCTCGATTTTATGAGATTGCTGTTATATAAATGTAGGGAAAAGCAAATAATCAGGAGCCAAAATTGTCTCTTATCAGAGAAAGTTCATAATTAGTTTGCATTTTCACAGAATTCCAAATAGTACTGGTTAATTAAGCCAATATGTATTCCAAGCAGGAACAGCTATGAATAGTCAGCCTGTGTGGGGAGAAGCACAAATCCAATGAACTCAAATGTAATAGGCCTAATTGTACCAAAGTAAGTAGCAGTCAATGACTGAGCATGCAGCCCTTTCCCTAGACAATCTCTAAAATAGTTTTTAACTGAATTTGGTGAACAGTATATAGAGAAAATCTAAGGAGAA